>NC_000006.12:158858668-159010183 GCF_000001405.40 Homo sapiens | reverse complement strand
GGAAGGAAGGAAGGCAGGCAGGCAGGCAGGCAGGCAGGCGGGCGGGCGGACGGGCAGGCAGGCAAAGACATGCAGACTCAAGGATATTAAACTGTTTCAGAGCATGTGAGTTTTATTTTTCAAAACTGGAAGGTCAGCATTAACTGACAATGGCACTCATAAATTCAAAATTCTTATTCTCTTCATCAAAATCAAGGTAATTCTACGTCTACTTCTCCAGCCCCAGCTTCTCACCTTCTCAAGCTATAGGATGTTGTCATGCAGGTGCCCTACAATCACAATATCAAAATGTTCCCCCACAAGGTAGGGGAGGTAAGTTTGGGCCAAAGAGAATAAAGGCACCAGACAGAAGCAAAGGGGAATGAAGGGTACACATGCTGCCGTCATTCCAATCTCTGATTCCAGCAATGCCTAAAGCCCACCCACAATGCTGCCATCCCTGAAGGCACAGGAACCACCCCATAAACTTCAAAACATGCCCTTCTGCCAAGCAAATTCAAATTGGATTTCTCCCTTATGCAACCGGGGGTTCTCACTAATACAACTGCTTTACATAATACCTATATTGCTGTAAAGTTCGGTATAAATAATTTTTATAAAATTTTTTAAATCTTATATTTACATAGCACTTCATAATTTTCTAAATTGTTACACACATTATCTCTTTTGGTATGCAAAAATAATTGCTTGAGATGGCCAGAACAGCATTTACTATCTATCGTTTTAAAATAACAACAACAAAATAAGACAAAGAATAATTTAAATTTTGCATGAGGTCACATAGCTAGTGAGAACAAAACAGGAGATGAACTCGAAGCTTCTGACTCCAAATCCAATACTCTACACCCAGAACTCTGGTCTTCTGATTGCTAGCCCAGTGCTCCACGCACCACTTGACGGCCATGCACATTTGTTAAACATACTAGAGACTGTCTTTTGAAAGGAAACCTCTCCACCATGTAAGTAACTGCCTTCTAGTTAGCTACTTTGTTTCGCTTTTGTTTTTGTTTTTGTTTTGAGACTGGGTCTCTTTCTGTCTGTCACCCAGGCTGGAGTGCAATGGCGCAATCTTAGCTCACTGCAACCTCTGCCTCCTGGGTTCAAGGAATTCTACCGCCTCAGCCTCCCGAATAGCTGGGATTACAGGTGCCTGCCACCATGTCTGTCTAATTTTTGTACTTTTGTAGAGATGGTGTTTCACCATGTTGGCCAGGCTGGTCTTGAACTCCTGACCTCAGGTGATCTGCCTGCCTCAGCCTCCCAAAGTGCTAGGATTACAGGCATAAGTCACCGCGCCGGGCCAAGTTGGCCTACTTTGTAAATATGATTTTTAAAAATAATATTTCCCTAATACAAGGTATACCTGGGCTGCAATTATTTCGCTTACTAGAAGCTAATGAAGAATTAGTGACACCTTGTGGCAAAAGCTTATTAATTCATGTTCTACTGCTACCCATTTGCAGAGATGTCCAAAGGCTTCGTGCACTTCACTAAGAAGACAAGAGCAAAACTTTTGGAAAGAATAACCTAGGGTTGCAACTCTGCCTCTGTAACTAGATTCTCTCTTCAATCACTCTACATGGGCTTCAGTCCCCTCCTCTTCACAGAATCTGTGTGACTGTCAAGTTTACAGATGACTTCCAGGTTGGCAAACTCAATGATTACTTCTCAAGTCTCACCTTTCTCAACCTCTCAGTGGTATCTGACCAGGTTGAACACACTGTTCCTAAAACCCTTGGATTTGGCAAAATCAGTTTCCCTTCTCCTTTAAAATGTTTTAAAGCCATCTAAGTGCTCATGAGTACCAAATTTATATCTCTAGTTCCACTGAACTTCAGATTCGCATCTCTAACCTGCCAATGTGACGTATGTATTTGGATGTCCAATAGCATCTGTCCAAAACAAAACTCTTGGTCTCCTACTCTTTCCAACAATTGACTGCATCGCATAAATAACATGATCATCCTGTCAGTTTAGTAAAGCCAAAATCTTAGCAGTCATTCTGTAGTCCTCCACTACTTACTATTAGTAAGTGGCAGTGAGGAGTAGAGGAATAAAGGGACTTAGTTCGTTCTCTGAAAGCTCCCAAATGTACCTCTTCTCTCCATTTTCCCTACTATCACCCTAATTCAAGCCAGAGCCTCTCATTAACCTACTCAGCACCTTCCTAACTAGCAACTTAATCTTCACCTCTTACAATCCATTCTTCACATAGCAATCAGTGATCTTTTTAAAATATAACTCAGATGATATCCTTTCTTAAAACCCTTGAATGGCTCCCCATAATCCCAACTCCTCCTCCATTCTACAAAGCCCTCCAATTTGCCCCCAGCTTCCTCAAAATGCTCTAAAAGCTCACGTCTAACCACTCTTCCCCGTCATTCCATGTTCTAGCCACACTGGCCTTCCTTTTGCTCCTTAAACATACAAGCTTGTTCCTTCCTTAGGAACAGTGCACTAGCCACCGCCCTCTGTCTGGGCGGCTCCCCCAGAACTTCATGTGGTTCGCTGCTTCTTATGTCACAAGGTCTCTAGTTAGATGTTACCTTCTCAGGCCTTTTCTGCTACTTAACTGAAGGCAGCTACTCATGCCCCCCAACACCACCACAAAGTTTTTGTTTTGTTTTCACCAAAGCTTTTATCATTTCATGAAATTTTCTTTTTTTCTTTTTTGATTTATTTGCCTATTATCTACTTCCCTACAGTAGGACAAAAGCTTCATCTATCCGAAGCTCTTATAATACTGCTCAGTACAGGGAAGGTGCTTAGTGTCTGTCAAATAATGAACTATATTAAGTTCTCCCTTGCATTCTCTTACTGATGTGGTTTGGATCTGTGTCCCCACCCAAATCTCATGCCAAAGTATAATTCCCAATGTTGGATGTGGGCCTGGTGGGAGGTGATTGGATCATGGAGGTGTTTTTCATGAATGGTTTACTGCCATCTACTTGATACTGTCCTCAGGATAGTGAATGAGTTCTTGCGAGATCTGGGTTTTTAATTTTGTTTTGTTTTGTTTTCTTTGAAGCAGAGCCTCACTCTGTCGCCCAGGCTGGAGTGCAGTGGTATGATCTCGGTTCACTGCAACCTCTGCCTCCCAGGTTCAAGTGATTCTCCTGCTTCAGCCTCCCAAATACCTGGGATTACAGGCACACACCACCATGCCCGGCTAATTTTTGTATTTTTAGTAGAGACAGGGTTTCACCATGTTGGCCAGGCTGGTTTCGAACTCCTGACCTCAGGGGATCTTCCCGCCTCGGCCTCCCAAAGTGCTGGGATTACAGGTGTGAGCCACTGCGCCCGGCCAAGATCTGATTGTTCAAAGGCATGGAGCACCTCCCCTTCTCCCTCTTGCTCCTGCTCCTGCCATGTAAGACACCTCACTTCTCCTTTGCCTTCCACTATGACTGGGAGCTTCCTGAGGCCTCTCCAGAAACAGATGCCGCCACACTTGCTGTACAGCCCGCAGAACCATAAGCCAATTAAACAGCTTTTCTTTATAAATTACTCAGCCTCTGGTATTTCTTTATAGCAATGTGATAACAGACTAATACATTTACCTACACTTAAAAACATTTCTGAAACCATAGCCTTTCACTCACTTTTTGCACACTTAAATGGAAAATATGCTGCTGCTTCTTTTCTTGGATAAATTGTATACCCCTGCTATTCACTCATTCAAAAAACTATTATAACCAAACATTAAGTAATATGGTAGGACTACAAATACAAATGGAACATGATCCCTACCCTCAAGGAAGTCATGGCCTAGTGGAAGCAAACATGTTAGCAAATCATTATAAAAGCCATGTGGCAAGTAAAAGATGGCGTTGTGGCTGCAAACTATATGAACCCAAGTTAGAGGCATCAGAAATGGCCTCCTGGCCGGGTGCTGTGGCTCACGCCTGTAATCCCAGCACTTTGGGAGGCCGAGGCGGGTGGATCACCTGAGGTCGGGAGTTCAAGATCAGCCTGACCAACATGGAGAAATCCTGTCTCTACTAAAAATATAAAATTAGCCAGGTGTGGTGGTGCATGCCCGTAATCCCAGCTACTTGGGAGGCTGAGACAGGAGAATCGCTTGAACCTGGGAGGCAGAGGTTGCAGTGAGCCGAGATAGCACCATTGCACTCCAGCCTGGGCAACAAGAAGTGAAACTCTGTCTCAAAAAAAAAAAGAAATGCCTTCCTGGAGAAAGCAACAGGAGCTGAGGTTTAAAAGAGGAGTAGAAAAAAAATCCAGGAAAAGAGACAAGGAAAAATCATAAAGCACAAACACAGCGTGGAAACATGATAGTTCATGCAGTGGGACTGCAAGCGCTCAGCTCTGCTGAGAAAAAAAGTACAAGACAGAAATCAGTGAGATGTGAAATTCGAAAAATACGCAGTAACCGGGTAGTGGCAGGCTTATAGCATAGTTTAAGAAACTTGAACTCATTAGGCAGTGGGTTATGGAGCAAGCATGATCAAGGATCACATTCTGTTCGATTATTGTTTGGTTCCATAGACGATTTAATTTAGACTACATGAGGTCAGAATGATGAGGTCAAAGGCTGGTAGGAATAGGAAGGATACAAAAAAGAGGATCCAGAAGCAAGAAACACTGAGGAAGTAAAATGGACAGGACTTAGTGATTATTGGGATATGGAGAATGAGGGGAGGGGGAACAAGCAAAAGGGGCAAGAAATGGGGGATCTGGGAGTGGGAGGACAATGAACATCATAAGCTGATGCTTTCTTGCTTAAGTTCTAGAGTCCAGCAGTCAAGGGCTTAAGTCTTGGTCCTGTCACTTGCTTGCTATATGACTTTGGTAAGTCATTTTAACTTCTCTAAATTTCAGTTCCTTGCAAATTAAATGGGAATAATATCAGAATCTACCTCATTGTTAGACTGGGATTGTTATAATAACTAAATGAAATCAGGTATGTAAACTGCTTAGCTTACTGCCTGCCATACATCAGAAACATCTATTGATTAAAGAATTTTAAAATGATTATCTGACTATGTCTGTGGTCATAGATCTACCTTTTCTCTTCTTACTATAGACGAATTGTCCATGTTTCTAGGCAAGGCCAATCCCTCAACTTATGCACAAAAGCCTATTCCTTTTTGCCAACATCATTCCACCAATTCTTCCCTCCGTCCCACACCATCCATTCCACCCTCTCTCCTGAATCACTTCTAGAAGCACATACACATACGGTCAATTCTACCATTAAAAAATATTGAACCTTTTCTTGACTCAATTTCCCTTTAACTACCAGCCCATTTGTTTTTTCTTTCCTTGAGTCATAAATCGCTCTTCTGTCACTCTCTTCAGGATCCATTATAACTGAACTTTCTCTTCTACAACTTCATGAAAGTTGCCTTTTTTCAGATCACCAGAGACCTCTATGCTGCTAGATCCAATGTTCTTATCTTGCTTAGCACATGTATAGCATTAGATACAGCTGATTACTTTCTCCTTGAAACACTTTCATTACTTAACTCCCAGGTGACCAGGCTTTCCGCATTTTCTACCATTTTGTTGGCCCTCTTTTGCAGTCTCCTTTGCTGATTATTCCTCATCTTTCCAAACTCTAAATATTGGAACACTCAAGGCCTTATCTCTCTACACTCCCTTGGTAATCTTATCAAGTCTCATGGCTGTTGATTCAAAAATCCACTTCTGTAGCCCAGACCAATCTCCTGAAACTCTAGACTCCCATGTCCAACTGTCTACTCAACATCTCCACTTGGATGACTAACATGCCTTCCAAGCTTGATGTGCCCCAGACCAAGCTGCTAATGCTCACTCCAATAATGGATCCTCCCCAGCGTTCCCTCTATCACTAAATGGCAACTCCATTCTTCCAGATACTCTAGTCAACAACTTTATCATGGCCTCTAGCTGTAATTGAATAGTTTAAATTAAACCAGTCCTCTCATGGGAATAAGCACAAGAGCTGAACATTTAAAAAAGCACACATAACAAAAACTACACAGGCTGTTTGAAGACACTGGAGAGCAACCAAGATGGTCAAGACATGAGAGACTGGGATCCCAGAAGACAGATGCATAAAGTGATACAGAACTTCTCCATTGCTTTTTCTGATTGGGTCATTTGCTGAGTTTTGTGCAGGGCATTTATGGCGAGCAGAAAGCAGTGACCTGGAGGTATCAGGGCCCTTTCAGATACGGGGAGATAAAAAATTGGAGTTGAAAACTGCGGATAGGACTTGAAGGGACAGATCCCAAAGAAAGGAGGATCATAGAGAAGCCAGTCTGACATTTAGTTTGGCTTTTATCCTTGAGGCATTTGCTGAATTCTAAGCTGTAAGGGCACTGGAAATCAAGAAACCAAACAGTTGCTAAATAGCTAAAATGCTAAGTGTACATTTCAACAGTCTCACAGAGCTGGGAGTACAAAAATTGGAGTTCAAGGTCACCCAAAGATGGGGACCTGTTAAATACCACAGATGTTCATGTTGAGAAAGAATAGAAAGGCCTAGCTCTGGGATAAGGCCAAACTAGAAAATGATCAGCCCTCACAAAGTCTGAATCCCTAATTAAAGGTCATCTGAGGCCAGGCGCAGGGGCTCACACCTGTAATCCCAGTACTTTAGGAGGCCAATGCAGGTGGATCACTTGAGGTCAGGAGTTCGAGACCAGCCTGATCAACATGGTGAAACCCAGTCTCTACTAAAAAAATACAAAATTGGCCGGGCATGGTGGTGCACACCTGTAATCCCAGCTACCTGGGAGGTGAGACAGGAGAATTGCTTGAACCCGGGAGGTGGAGGCCACAGTGAGCCAAGACAGTGCCATTGTACTCCAGCCTGGGCAACAAGAGCAAAACTCCGCCTCAAAAAAAAAAAAAAAAAAAGTCATCCGTTCCTACTCTAATTGCTTGCCAGAATAAAATTAAATCCTTTCTGGAGAAACACAACATCAGCCACAGTCTCTATGCAATTTATTTATTTATTTTTTATTTATTTATTTAGTTTTTTTTTTTTTGCCAGAGCCTCTATGTGATTTTTTTCCTACACAATGTCTAACATTTAATCAGAAACCTTAGGTTCATCTCTTTTGCCTTTCTTTCTCTCGTGCACCACGTCACGTCCAATCTGTTCTACCTTCAAAATTGAGCTGGGATCTTCCCACCACTTTTGTCCCAGATCCAGAACCAAGCTCCACTGAAAGCAAGGCAGTCTGTCCCCCGACATGGCCTCGGCACTGACTCACTGCATCTCTCGGGCCCGAGCACCACACCTACACCAGATCCAAGCCACCCTCTCACCAGCCTTATTGGGAGCAGCTTCCTATCTGGTCTCTCTGCTTCTGCCTTTGCCCCACTTCAGTCTATTCTCAACCAAACAACTAGAAAAAACAAATTTTTTTAATCAAACTATGTCAAGCTTCTACTCAAAACCCTTTAGGGACTTTTAACCCTAGAGTAAAACCTAAAGTCCTTTCACTGACCTACAACAGGGCGCACGGCCCAGCCTCTGACTTCATCTCCGAATGCTCCTCCTTGTGCTCACTCTGCTCCACTCACTCTTACTGCCATCCCCAACACGACTTCCTGCCTTAGAACGAGGAATTGGCTGCTTCCTTGACCTGGAATGCTGTGACAATTAGTCACAAGTCTCAAGTTTCATTTCTTCACCTCCTTCAAGTCTTTACTCAAATGTCACCTTCTCAATGAAGCCTTCTCTGACCACTATAAAATTGATAGGTCTCCCATGCCCCTAGCACCTAGCCTTATTTCCTGCTTTATTTCGAATTAGCTATTATAATTATGTAACACCCATAATGTACTCACTTTTCTTGTTTGTATGACTCCTCCACTAGAATATAAATTCTGTCAAGGCAGGACTTTTAATCTGTTGTTTGTTTTTGTTTTTCACTGCTATATCCCCACTAACACCAGGGGAGTGGGGACGAGGGACAAGAAAACAACAATGCTTGGCACATACTAGATACACATAACTATTTGTGGAATGAATCTTTCAGTTTCAGATCATCCAAGAGTTGTCCACAAAATAGTCAGATATCCAGGACTGTCACCTGAGGGAGAAGTCTAGGTTAGAGATACATCCTTTGCTACCCTGAGTATATAGGTGGTACTAGAAATTACAGACGTGAAATGGGACTGCCCTGGGAGAAAGTACAAGAAGAGAAACAGGCTGTGGATAAAAACTTGTACAGGCCAGGCACAGTGGCTCACGCCTGTAATCCCAACACTTTGGGAGGCTGAGGAGGGCGGATCACCAGGTCAAGAGAACAAGACCATCCTGGCCAACATGGTGAAACCCCGCCTCTACTAAAAATACAGAAATTAGCTGGACGGGGTGGCACACGCCTGTAGTCCCAGCTACTCAGGAGGCTGAGGCAGGAGAACCACTTGAACCGGGGAGGCGGAGGTTGCAGTGAGCCAAGATCGCGCCACTGCACTCCAGCCTGGCCACAGAGCGAGACTCCATCTAAAAAAAAAAAAAAAGAAAGAAACTTGTACAAGAACCTATAGTGGCTATCAATTTCTTTATAAAGCCCACTGTGGCTGGTATAGCACTATTGTTTACCCACTTAATACCCACTCAATTCTGCCCCAACATCCTCCTAACAGAATTTGTTCTCCTCCTCCCTGGCCAAGTGTTTCTTGGAGGCCTAGAAAGACCGGTTACCTGGTCTAATCCAAATATGGTGGTCTTATATAGATCCTAAGCTTAAATCAATATGATGTAATTCTGGTCAGTTGGGAGTTTACGAGGGGGTTTTGCTCTTCCAATAAAGACAAAAGAGCAGATACTTCTATTACTACTTTGTTGAAGCCAACAACCCAGGTGACAGAGTGGAAAGGTAGGGGAAAAAACGTGTTGTTGATAATGTGCTGAGCCCCCAAGTTACCCTCCAGGTTAACCAACCTGGGGAGTGTAAAATAATGAATTCCTTATTATTTCAGCCACTTGGAATTGGTTTTTTGTTACTTGAGGGAAAAAATATTCTAATTAATATGCTAGTGTTTACTGTTTCCACGATGTGGTGTCAGCCTGTCTATATATATTTCTACAACTCATCTACACAAACCTTGCTTACAGTTTTCCAAATGCACCTTGGGCTTCTTGAGCCTTTGATCAAGCCATTCCGAATGCACTTCCCCCAAGAGGCTGGCCAGTTAAAATACTATCATTTATCAAACACAACTTAAATGTCACTTTCTCCTCTAGCCCTTTCAGAAATTACCTCAAAATTAAATGATCAGACCTAAAATATGTTGGGAGTGTTTTCACCTCTAGAATTTACCATACACCTTTATGCTAGTGTTACTTATAGAATGCCTACATCTGCTTTAGGTCATACACTTCAAAGCACAGAACGGTCCAGATCTTAATATAAAGGCTTGCCATTTACCAGGCACAGCTCTAAGTATTAACGGTTTTAATCCTCAAGACAAAACCTAAAGAGATAAATTCTTCTATTGCCACTTTGTGGATTAGGAAAATGAAGCACAAAAACATTTAACTTGCCTGAGGTTTCGGAGCTAGTACATTCTAGAACCTGGATTCAAATCAAGACAGCAATTAGCTGAATGAAGGTGTAACTGCAAATGCAAATAACTGATCACAAGGGATACACATTCACTCATACAAGATAGAAGATTTTTAACGTTGCTGGTACTAAAACCAAAGCGTCTGCGTTTTTAAGCGCAGCCCCACCCCGCAATACTAGAGACATTCTTTAGAGCTGGAAGCCTGATAGATTAAGGGGAACTATGCCTTTGTATTTTTTAAGACTCAATAAATTGCTCACTTCTTTCCCAAAATGAGGTGTCTGTGGGGGAGGCCCCTGTCGCTCCGTGTGCCAAGGGTCCTCCGATTGCTAGCACACAGCGGTGAGCAGAGAAGGTAGGTGAGGAACTGCACTGACTCAGCTGCAGAGGGCGGCGGCAGCCCGCCCCTGGGGCGGGAGAAGGGCAGGAGCCGGGAGACACCAGGAAGCTCTTCCCCGCCCGGGCACGTAACAGAGCTGGGAGCCTGGCTGCCAGGGGCGTGTTATCGCGGGGGCAGCCTGGGAGCGCTGCTGCGCCGCGGCAGGAGAAACAGCCGAGGACACCCTGGAAGAGCAGGAGCACGTGGGCCTGCGAGAATGGCGCCAACACCAGCCCTGCAAAGCCACATTCCAAAGCCGGGCCAAGGACAGCCACCGTTGCCCCGCAGGCCTCAAGGATGACGGTCAAGCCAGCCAAGGCCGCCTCCCTAGCCAGGAACCTCGCAAAGCGCAGGCGCACCTACCTGGGTGGCGCGGCTGGGCGGAGTCAAGAGCCGGAAGTCCCTTGTGCCGCAGTCCTTCCCGGGAAACCTGGGGACCGGAACTGCCCGGAGTTCCCGCCCCCAGACAGAACCCTGGGTTGCTGGGCAACCGATGCGGCCCCCGCAGCTGGTCTCTGTGGTGCTGGGAGCGAGCCCAGTATAGCTCCCACCTCCTGCGCTGGTAACCTCCCGTCCCGCCCGCCTCCCTTGTTGTCGCCTCTCCTCGCGTCGCGGAATCCTTGCCCTTGGCACTACTTACATCTCTCCGGGTCCCACAACACCTTAGCGCCCACCTGCTTCAAAGCCAAGCTCCACCGAAAGCGAGGCAGTCAGCCCCCGGACATGGCCTCAGCGCTGACTGATCGCACCTCTCGGGCCCCGAGCACCTACACCTACACCAGCCGGCCCCGAGCACTGCCCTGCCAGCGCAGCCGTTACCGGGACAGCCTGACGCAGCCGTGAGTGACCAAGCCAGCCCCTGTGTGGTCCATACTTGCACCCCATCCCCAGGCCGGGGTCTGGCCCCTTCGCCCTGGCAAAAAAGCTGCTTATGCTGTCTTCCCTTGGCTGCACTCTGCCGAAATAAAAGTTCTGCCCTAAGGAATCTCCCGTGGTGTGGAGGAGTGAAGCAGGAAGGGGCATGGGTTGGGCATCAGTTAACTTTTAGTGATATGAGTTGCTGCCGTGGTCCTTAACATGTACACGAATTGGCTCATTTCACAAAGTTTGAATTGTACCAGTGTGTATTGAGGGCCAACTACGTGCTGAGCACCTTACGGGGGGCATTCAAATACGTTTTCTTAGTTAATCCACAGTGCTGTGAAGTTGATTTTATAACTCCATTATGCAGATGAGGAGACCGCGGTGCAAAGATATCCAACAGTAGCATATCCAAAATGGGAGCCGAGTAAATCTCTTCGGCAGGCTTTGAGCAGGAGTAAGATTATTCTTCCATGCAGGACCACAGATTGGTTTTTTGTGGTGGTGGTGGTGGTGGTGGTGGTGGTTGCTGTTGTTGTTTTGAGACGGAGTTTCGCTCTTGTCGCCCAGGCTGGACTGCAATGACGCGATCTCCGCTCACTGCAACCTCCGCCCCCCTCCCCCACTCCTCCCCGATCAAACGATTCTCCTGCCTCAGCCTCCCAAGTAGCTGGGACTAGAGGCGCCCTCCACCACCCCCGGCTAATCTTTGTATTTTTAGTAGAGACAGGGTTTTGCCACGTTGGCCAGGCTGGTCTCAAACTCTTGGCCTCAAGTGATCCGCCCGCCTCGGCCTCCCAAAGTGCTGGGATTACAAGCGTGAGCCACCGCGCCCGGACGGCAGTTTGTGTTTTTACATCCATGAACAGTTGCAAATATTCAAACATACATAGGAAAGAAAAAAAACAAAACATAAGCCTTTTTTTTTTTCTTTTTTTTTTTTTGAGACGGAGTCTCGCTCTGTCGCCCAGGCTGGAGTGCAGTGGCACAATCTCGGCTCACTGCAACCTCCACCTCCCGGGTTCACGCCATTCTCCTGCCTCAGCCTCCCAAGTAGCTGGGACTACAGGCGCCCGCCACCACGCCCGGCTCTTTTTTTTTTTTTTTTTTTTTTTGTATTTTTTTAGTAGAGACGGGGTTTCACCATGTTAGCCAGGATACTCTCGATCTCCTGACCTCATGATCCGCCCGCCTCGGCCTCCCAAAATGCTGGGATTACAGGCCTGAGCCACCACACCCAGCAAAAAAAACATAAACTCTTAAAGTTCTCTTAAAGTTAAACGGTTCTCTAAAGTTCTTTCCATAAGCCTCAAATGTTGAATTCAGCAGAACTTTATAGGAATGCAAGCTCCATGGATGCAGGAACTTTTGCATCTTTTGTTCACCTAGTACAATGCCTGGTACATAGTAAGCACTTAATACGAATTGTCAAACTGATGATTGAACATCAACAATGTAATTATTGATGCTTATTTCAAACGCTCTTTCTAAATTCATAATTATCTTGTTCTAACAAATTCTTTTTCTATAAGAGATGTCTATCACTGTAAGAAAACTAAAATAGAAAATTTAAATTTGAAGAGTGATCATTTATATTAGAAAAGGATTCAATTTTAAAATTTTCTAATCCTTCCAAAAACACTTTCTGGTGCCTTTAAGTGGTTGCTTACAAATCATTACTATCCAATCAGACCAACAGATTAGAAACAAGAATCAATGGTGGTTCATTAGGAACAACTTTTTTGATAGTTGATTAGTATATTGAAGTAATCTATTGATTAGTTTATTAGTATATCTGAGTAATGCACAAGACAGAAAAATCTCAATTTTGAGGAAGTATTATCTTACAAATCATAATCATTGATATCCTAATGGATAAAATACTGATATTTTATCCATAATTTGCTTATGGATAAGGATAATATTCTCCTCTGATATCCTTATGAATAAAATATTTTTTAAGTGTTCAGGAGAGTAGCCGGGCATGGTGGCATGTACCTGTAATCCCAGGTACTTGGGAGGCTGACGCAGGAGGATCACTTAAACCCAGAAGGCGGAGGTTGCAGTGAGCCAAGATCACGCCACTGCACTCCAGCCTGGGCGACAAAGCGAAACTCTGTCTCAAAAAAAAAAAAAAAAAAGTGTTCAGGAGAGTACTTGTCTTAATCCATCTTATGTTGCTCTAACAGAGTATCTGAAACTGGATAGTCTATAAAGAGATCTATTTAGCTCACAGCTCTGCAGACTGAGAAGTACAAGAGCATGGTGCTGGCATCTGCTTGCCTTCTAGTGAGGGCTTTTCTTGTTGTTTCATAACATGATGGAGAAGGTCAAAGGGGAAGCAGATCCGTGGGAAGTGGCCAAACAGGAGGAAGTACCTCATTTTGTAGCAACTTGCTGTCTCTGGAACTAGTCCTGTGAGAACTTAATCCAGTCTCTTGAGAGTAAGAGTTCCCTCACTACTGCGAGAACTGGTGCCAAGCCATTCATGAGGGATCCACCCATGTTCCAAACACCTCCCACTAGGCCCCACTTCCCAACACTGCCATATTGGAAATTAAATTTCCATGTGAGTTTTAGTGGAGACGACAAACCATATCCAGACCACAGCAGTACTTTTAGTACTTGCTGGTGAGTAACTAAATGACCATATCCAAAAAGAGTATGCTTTTGTGTCAATCTGTCTCTATCCTAGAATGTCGTTTAGTTCTTTCATGTTCAAAATTTTATGTTGAACTGGATAAATCTTCAGTTTTTCAGATGACACATGGCTGGAATGGATAACTAACTTATGACTGAAGGGAGTCAAGGTTCTAAATTATCTTGATTGGGTATATATAACTGGGCTGAAACCAAAAAATGAAACTTAATTGGAAAGCTGTGAAGTTTTACTTAGGTATGAGAAGTCAGTTACACAAATACAGAAATGGGAGTATCTGATTTTTCCTTTGAAAGGGTCTAGAAATTTAACACAAGTCTAATGTGAATCAAGAACTTCCACCTTTTCATAGGATTATAAAGCTGAAAGAGAACATTTGAATACTAGTCTTCTCATTTACAAACAAGAGAATGTAATACATCTTTTATGTATTTCTTGGTAGTTGGGTGATCATAAATGCCATTAAATTCACCTTTAGGCATGTGTGAAAAGACAATTGTGATAATGACATTCCCTCATTTTACAAATCCTTTGGTAAAGGATATATAACCCTTCCAATAAAATAACATTTTTAATGCAAATGAATTAAAACCTTAGAACATACCTTTTTTTTATTTTTATTTTTACTCAGGTCAAATAAGGTTTAAAATCACCGTAGAGGGCAGAATAATGATTCCCCAAAGATGTCCTCTTCCTAGTCCCCAGAACCTGTGAACATGTTATGTGGTAAAAGGGACTTTGAGATGTGATTACATTAAGGATCTTGAGATGGGAGATCTTGAGATGGGAAATTAGCCTGGCTTATCCAGGTGGGCCCAGTAGAATCACAGTGGGGCCTTAAAAGTAAAAGAAGAAGGATGGGCACGGTGGCTCACGCCTGTAATCCCGGTACTTTGGGAGGCTAAGGTGGGCGGATCACGAGGTCAGGAGATCCAGACCATCCTGGCTAACACGGTGAAACCCCGTCTCTACTAAAAAAATACAAAAAAAAATGAGCCGGGCGTGGTGGCGGGCGCCTGTAGTCCCAGCTACTCGGGAGGCTGAGGCAGGAGAATGGCATGAACCCAGGAGGCGGAGCTTGCAGTGAGCCAAGATTGCACCTCTGCAGTCCAGCCTGGGTGACAGAGTGAGACTCTGTCTCAAAAAAAATAAAAATAAAATAAAGTGAAAGAAGAAGGCACAGGAGTCTGAGTCATAGAAGGAGATGTGTCATTAGAAGCAAAGGTCAGAATCACACAAATGCTGACTGGAAGGCGACCACAAGCCACGGAATGAGGGCAGTCTCTAGAGGCTGGAAAAGGCAAAGAAACATTCTCCCCAGGACCTCCAGGAGGAGTGCAGTCCTGTTGACACCCATTTTGGACATCTAAATTGCAGAATTCTGAGAATAAATGCGTTATTTTAAGCCAACTATGTAGTTAGTAGTACCATTTAATGAAATAGGAAACACTGAAGAAGTAATGAGTTGGAATGGGAGAGTGATAATTAGTTCAATTCTGAGGTTGCCTTCCAGGTAACATAGTGAGATGTCATTGGGTAACTGGATATGCCTAGAGTTGAGAGAAGAGTTCTCAGCTAAAAATAAAAATTGAGAGTTTTGGGTATATGGATTATAATTGAGGTCTTGAAGATGGATGAGGTCAACTAAGGATAAGAGAAGGCTGAGCCCGGAGGAAATCCTCCAGTATGGGAGGAACTGCAAACAAAGGCTAAGAAAAAGGTGTTAGAGAAGTAGTAGAAAAACAATCAGAAGATTATAGTGGTAACACAGAGGCCTAGGAAAGAGAATGCTTCAGTGAAGGAGTGGCCAGCTGGGCTTAACACTGCCCAGAGATCAATTAATACAAGAAATGAAACTTGTTAGAATGTTCAATAGTGGCTTCAATATATGAAAAAAAAGCAACTTATACCCCACTCAGAATCATTTCCCATAGAGTACTGTTATTGGTGTAGGGCAATGTTTAGTGTCTTAGCTATAAGCAATATATAATTGAAATAACTTTGAATGGAAATATCAACTGTGTTTTTGTATTTTTTACTAGCAATCATTCAATCACTGAAATTAATATTTTATTTTATTTCTTATTTATTTATTTATTTTTTGAGACAAAGTCTTTCTCTGTCTCCTAGGCTGGAGTTCAGTAGCCCAATCTCAGCTCACAGCAACCTCTGCCTCCTGGGCTGAAACCATTATCATGCCTCAGGCTCCAGAGCAGCTGGGATTACAGGTGCAGGCCACCAGGCCTGGCTAATTTTGTATTTTTAGTAGAGACAGCGTTTCACCATGTTGGCCAGGCTGGAAAATAGTATTAACATTTTCAACAATAACTTTAAAAAATATATTTGGGTTTAAAGAACAATGAGAAAATTGACTTAATTTTTAAGCCTCATTTTTTTATTAGTGTAACTTTTCAATCTTTGAATCAAGCTTTTTTCAGTACTTTAAAGAAGGCTCCTTTTCAAATGGGACATTTTCATATTTCCTAAAGTCATACAGATTTACAACCTAAATCTAGTCCTGCCACTTACTAGCAAGGTGACCTTTGGCAGATTCCTGAGTCTGTTTCCCCTTCTGAAAAAGGAATCATAATTCCCAACTTGCAGCTTATTGTGAATAATAAATAAAATAATGTACATGAAGGACCTGGCATATAGTAAGCATTACATAAATTGTATCCATTTACCTCCTTATTTTATGGACCACACTAAAACAGAAATTTATTTTCTTAAAATATATTGATTTTAGTCTAAATCCTATTGAAAATGAGTTACTTCATAGATACCAATACTCTATTAAAGTGGTTATACAGAATTTTCTGTTTTACAGAGATGAAGAACCTATGCATTATGGAAACATAATGTATGACAGAAGGGTAATTCGAGGTAACACTTATGCACTCCAGACAGGGCCACTGGTAAGTTCAGTTTGAATAGTCTAACACCGTGTTCTCACATTATCTATGGGGAAGGATCAGTTTCTTGGTGTTAATTTCTAATCCGTTGCAGACTAAAACATTCATAAAATAAAGATGAATTACTATAAAAATGAAATTTTTAAAAAGACATACAAATAGAAGCCCAGTGACAGTTTCCAGGAGCTGGGGGATGAGGGGACCAGGGAGGGAGTTATTGTTTAATGAGTGTAGAGTTTCAGTTTTGCAAGGTGAAAAGAGTTCCGGAGATAGAGGATGGTGACAGTGATAGAACAATGTGAATGTAATTAATACCACTGAATTTTATACTTAAAAATGGTTAAGGTGATAAATTTTACATTATGTGTGTTTTACCACAAAAAAAGAATTAGCTAAAAAAAAAAAAAAAAAAAGCAAGCCCCAGTTGGCCGGGCGCGGTGGCTCACGCCTGTAATCCCAGCACTTTGGGAGGCCAAGGCGGGCAGCTCACGAGGTCAGGAGATCAAGACCATTCTGGCCAACATGGTGAAACCCCGTCTCTACTAAAAGTACAAAAATTAGCTGGGTGTGGTGGCGCTCGCCTGTAGTCCCAGCTACCCGGGAGGCTGAGGCAGGAGAATTGCTTGAACCCAGGAGGCAGAAGTTGCAGTGAGCCGAGATCGCACCACTGCACTCCAGTCTGGCGACAGAGTGAGACTACATCTCAAAAAAAAAAGCCCCAATTTTTCATTCGATTCAACAGAACTCTGCCATTCTAAACATTTCTAAACCTTTACTCTCAATTTCTGTACTTAAATTGTTACAGACCAGTTCAAATAGTTTATAGACACTAGCCAGAGGCCCACATTTTGAGTGGCACTTGTCTATTGCATCTAGATTTGTTTAGATTATCTCATACTCTAATACAATTATCATTATTTAATCAAAAAGTCTGAATTCTGCTTCTTTAATTCACTCAACAAATATTTATTGAGTTTTAGGTCCTGTTCTGGGTACCTAGGATACAGAGATGAGTAAGACATGGTATGATATTAAGGGTGGTGAGTTCTTGGCACAGAAATGAAATACAGATGAATCCATAAACAGTATATGACATGTAAGTGCCTAATACAAGATGGTGATAGAGATGCTCCTCCACTTAGGATGAGGTTACGTCCCAATAAACCCACTGAACACTGAAAATGAATTTAAAACACCAAACCTGCCGAACACCATAACATAGCATAGCCTACCTTAAATATGCTCAGAGGCCAGGCGTGGTGGCTCACGCCTGTAATCCTAGCAGTTTGGGAGGCCAAGGTGGGCAGATCACTTGAGCCCAGGCGCTTGAGACCAGCCTGGGCAATGTGGGTAACCCTGTCTCTACAAAAAAAAAAAAAAAAAACCCCACAAAAATTAGCTGGGCATGGTGGCACGCCCCTGTAGTCCCAGCTACTTGGGAGGCTGAGGCAGAAGGATTGATTGAGCCCAGGAGGACAAGGCTGCAGTGAGCTGTGATCACACCACTGCACTCCAGCCTGGGTGACAGAGGGAAACCCTGTCTCAAAAAACAAAAACAAAAATACAACCTAGAAGGTTAAGGAATTGAGGGAAGCTCAGTGTGCCCTGAATCGGAGTCTGAGGCAGGGAGTATCAAGAAATACGTGATTAAAAAGAAGTTAAAGATGAATAATAGCATTCAAATCCACGTTAGAGAGAATGTTGTTGAATGTCAAATGAGGGATGTGAAGAACCCACCTAAGGTATGTTCCCAGAATGAGACCCTGTCTACAAAAAAAAAAAAAAAAAAAACAGTGCTCATTAGCCTACAGTTGGGAAAAATCATCTAACACAAAGCCTATTTTATAATAAAGTACTGAATATCTCATATAATTTATGAAATATTAAAGTGAAAAATAGAATGGTTGTATGAGTATTCAAAGTACATTTTCTGTGGATACTTTTGTATCATCATAAAGCTGAAAAATCATAAACCACATAAGTTGGGGAACATCTATTAGTCTGAAGCAATGGTTAACTTAATAAACATATATATATGTATGTATGTATATACACTTCAGCCCTATCCTGGATCTCCTGCATTAGAACCTCCAGGGGTTCCCTGCTTCTCCCACTGAGGTGGTATCAACAAGGGTGGAGCAGGAAGCTGAACTGTCACCTTCACCCAGTACCAATGAGGTAGTAGGAGATGGCACAAGTCAGTGCCCCACTCTTTCTGGGGTGGTGCCAGCAAACCCAGTGGGGTAGCTGAATTGCAGTCCTATCTGGTAGTAACAAGGTGGTATGAGGCAGTGCTAGTCAATGCTGCACTCGCCCTACACCACCACCAGTGTCGACAGAGCCTAGAAAGGAGCTGAACTACCACCCCCACCTGGCACCAATGTGTTGGTACAAGTTGACCCTCTGCTTTTGTTGAGGTGGTGTCAGTGGGGCCCAGCAGGAAGTTGAACTTCCAACCCCACTCAGGCTTGTGCACTAAAACAAAAAGGGTGACTTCCTACTGAAAAATTAAATAGAATCCAAAGTCTTAAAATATAATACCCAAAATAGCCAGGATACAAACAAAAATCATTCATCATACAAGAATCAGGACAGTCACAACTTGCATGAGGAAAGACAATCAAGAAATGACAAAACCAAGATGACTCAGATGTGGGAATTACCTGACAAGGATTTTAAAGCAACAATCAAAAATGTTTCAATGAAAAGTGAGCAATTATAGACACTCTTGAAACAAATAAAAAAATCTTAGCAAAGAAATACAAGATACAAAAGTGAACCAAATGGAAACTTATAGAACTGAAAAATACAATAACTAAAATAAACTCACTGGATGGACTCAGTAGTACATTGGAAATGGCATAGGAAACAGTCAGTAAATTTGAAGAAGAATCAATGAAGAACGGAAGTTATCCAGCTGAACAGAGAGAAAATAGACCAAAAAAAAAAAAAAAAGGCTGAGAGAGCTGAAGAACAATCACAAAGATTTACATTCATGTTGTTGGAATCCTAGAAGGAGAGGAGGAAAACTATGAGATGGAAAAATATTTGAAGAAATCGTGCTTGAAAATTCCACAAATTTGGCAAAAGGCCTACAGATCCAAGAAGCCAAGTGACCCCCCAAGAGGATAAACCCAAAGAAATCTACCCGAGACAAATCAAGATCAAACTTTTGAAAATTAAAAAAAAAAACATTTTGAAATTAGCCAGAAAGAAATTACACGTTAGCTAAAGGAGAACAATGATTTAAATGGCAGTGGATTTCTTACCTAAAACATGGAGACAAGAAAGTGGCACAATATTTTTCAAGTCCTTAAAGAACTATCAAGCTCTAATTCTAATCCAGTGAAAATATTTTTCAGGAGTTCCAAAATGGCAGCATAGAAGCAGGCTGGCTTCACTCCCCCTGCAAAAGAAAATCAAGAACAAATGTACAGTGCCAAGATTACCACCAGCAATATTCTAAAGCTCAAGTTGAAGGAAGAAGCAGTTCCCAGGGCTACAGAAAAGTGAAAAAGCTTCAAGGAGATGGTAGGAGAATCAGACGTTCATGTCTACAGTATCTCTCCTTCTAGTCTGCCTGGCACTAAGGGTGTGGAGGATTGTATTAGGGTTCTCTAGAGGGACAGAACAAATGGAATAGATATATATATATATAAAGGAGAGTTTATTAAGTATTAAGTCACACAATCACGAGGTCCCACAATAGGCCATCTGCAGGCTGAGGAGCAAGGAGAGCCAGTCCAGGCTCCAAAACTGAAGAACTTGGAGTTCAGTGTTCAAGGGCAGGAAGCATCCAGCACAGGAGAAAGATGTAGGCTGGGGGGCTAGGCCAGTCTCTCTTTCCACATTTTTCTGCCTGCTTATATTCTAGCCACTCTGGCAGTTGATTAGATTGTGCCCACCCCGATTAAGGGTGGGTCTGCCTTTCCCAGCCTACTGACTCAGATGATAGTCTCTTTTGGCAACACCCTGAGACACACCCAGGATCAGTACTTGGTATCCTTCAATCCAATCAAGTTGACACTCAGTATTAACCATCGCAAGGATTTATCTCTGACTTGTGATTTCTGCACTGGAAAAAGATCAAGGTGGACAACTAGTTTCCCTACCATGTTGGGTTTCCTGGCAGGAAATTCAACCCACCAGAAGCATCATGAGTTCCTGAAGAGAGAAATACCCCTGAGTACAGCCAAAAACAAAATGGGGAGGTGAGACTACCATCTCCAGCCCTGGACACTCTGCTGTATAACTCAACCAAAGGAAACACCAAATCAGAGTGGCTGTTCAGCAGCACCACATTGTAGGAGATAACATTGTACCGGTCCCCTGGGCACAAACCCCTAGCCAGTCACACTACCAGTGTATCCCCTTTGGGACCTCCCCCATTCAGGATGGGCAGTGCTCTGATCATTTACTAGAGCCAGGTGAACCTGGCCTTAAGGCACCACCTAGAGCCAAAAAGGAGGCAGCAATCTAGTGATAAAGGATCTCTGTCGGGGCGCAGTGTCTCATGCCTGTAATCCCAGCACTTTGGGAGGCCAAGGCAGGCAGATCGCTTGAGGTCATTAGTTCGAGACCAGCCTGACCAATATGATGAAACCCCACGTCTACTAAAAATACAAAAATTAGCCAGGCATGGTGGCGGGCACCTGTAATCCCAGCTACTTGAGAGGCTGAGTCAGGAGAATCGCTTGAACCCAGGAGGCAGAGGTTGCAGTGAGCCAAGATCACACCACTGCACTCCAGCCAGGGTGACAGAGCGAGACTCTGTCTCAAAAAAGATAAAAAAAAACTCTAAGAAAATATATCCAATAAAAAGCAAAACAAGCCAGACAGATTAGACTGGATTAAATAATCCTTCAGTGCAGAGACATAGACGTCCATCCACATGAAACAACAGCAAACAGAGAACCATGACCTACTTAAAGGGACAAAGCAAGGAATCAGTAACTGGCCCTAATGAGATGGCAGGATGTGAGCTCTTTGACCAAAAATTCAAAATAGCAGTCTTAAGGAAATTCAGCGATGTCTAAGATAACACAGAAAAGCAATTTAGAAATTTGTTAGAGAAATGTAACAAAGAGATTGAAATAATTTTTAAAAATCAAGCAGAAATCTTGGAGCTGAGTAATACATTTGTTGAACTGAAAAATTTATTAGAGGCTTTCAACAACAGAATGAATCAAGCAGAGGAAAGGATCAGTGAACATGAAGACAAAGACAGACTATTTGAAAATACACAGTCTGAGGAGAAAAAAGAATGAGAAGAAACAAAGACTGCTTATAAGATATAGAAAATTACCCCCAAAGGATCAAAGCTAAGAATTACTTGTGTTCAAGAGGGAATTGAGCAAGAGCAAGGAGTGGGAAGCTTGTTTTAAGAAATACTAACAGAAAACTTTCCAAAACTTGAGAAAGAGATAGATATCCAGGTACAGGAAGGCCAGAGAATACCAAACAGATTCACCCCAAATAATACCCCATAGAATAATCAAGCTCTCAAAGGTCAAGGACAAAAAAAGAATCCCAAAAGCAGCAAGAGAAAAGAAGCAAATAGCATACATGAAGGAGCTCCAATCCATCTGGCAGCAGACTTCTCAGTGGAAACTGTACAGGCCAGGAGGGAGTGAGATGACCAGGAGGGACTGGGGTGATATTTTCAAAGTGCTGAAAGAAAAAAAATCATGTAACAATATTGTATCCACAAAGTTATCCCTCAAATATGAAGGAGAGATAGTCTTTCCTAGACAAATAAAAGCTGAGCAAATTCAGCACCACCACGCCCATCTTACAAGAAGTGTTGAAGGGAATTCTTCAGCCTGAACAACAGCAACAAAAAACACTAATGTGCCAAAAGAAAACATTTGAAGGTATGAAACTTACTGGTTAAATTAAGTACATAGACAAACCTAGAATACTCTCATACTATAACTGTGGTATGCGGTCCACTCATAATTCTACTATGAGGCCCAAAAGACAACTATCAAAAACAGTAATAGCTGCAGCAACCTGTTAAGAGGTAGGTGATATAAAAATATGTGCAATGAGACAGCTAAAAGTTAGTATGTGGGGGGATGGAGTTAAAGTGTAGAATTTTTTTTCTTTTTTTCTTTGCTTCTGTTCTTTGTGATCTAAGATAAGTTGTCATCTCTGCAAACAACTTGTTATATCTATGTTTTTTATAAGCCTCATGGTAACCACAATGCAAAAATCTGTAATAGATTCACCAAAAATTAAAAGCAACAAACTAAAATATACTACCAGATAAAGTCACTTAACACAAAGAAAGACAATAAAGAAGGAAGGAGATACAAAACAACCAGAAAATAAGCAACAGAATGGTAGTAGTAAGTCCTTGCTTTATCAATAATAACACTGAATGTAAGAGGACTCGGTTCTCCAATTAAAAGGCATAGAAGAGCTGATTGGATAAAGGAACGAGACCCAACTATATGCTCCTTCAAGAAACCCACTTCACCTACAGAGACACACATAGACTGAAAGTAAAGGGATGGAAAAAGATTTTCCATGCAACTAGAAACCAAAAAAGAGCATGAGTATACTTACATCAGATAAACTACAAATCAAAGACTGTAAAAAGAAACACAGTCACTCTGTAATAATAAAGTGATCAATTCAGCCAGAGGATGTAACAATGATAAATATCCATGCACCCAACACCAGAGCTCCCAACTATATAAAGCAAACATGAATAGATCTAAAGGGAGAGATAGACTGCATTAATATTAGGAGACTTTAACAACCTGTTCTCAGTAATGAATAGATAATCCAAACAGAAAATCAGGAAAAAAAGAAAAAGAAAGAAAAGAAAATTGGTGTTAAACTTCACACTAGACCTATTAGGACTAACTGATATTTATAGAGCATTTTATCCATCTTCTGCAGAGTACACATTTTTTTTCTTCAGCACATGGATCATTCTTCAGAATAGACCATATCTTAGGCCACAAAACATGTCTGAACAAATTCAAAAAAGTAGAAATCATATCGAATATCTTTGCTGACCACAATGAAGTAAAACTAGAAATCAATAATAAGAGGAATCTTGGAAGCTACAAAAATACATAGAAATTAAACAGCATGTTCCTGAATGATCAGCAGGTCAATGAATAAATTAAAAAGGAAATGTTTTTATTATTTTTCTAAATATATAGATAGGATTGTGCACCCATATATTCCAGTTAACAGCCATACTTTGAAGTTGCTTTTATGCTTTGTCAAACATCTTTGTAATTATCTGACAAAGTACCAATACAATTTTAATGAAGTTACTGATAATCAAGAAACATTATGACAAATGCCTTTATACTACTCAGGAATTGCTTTTGGAATGGCAGTTCCTGTATGCTTTAATAAATATTTTCTAAATTCTAGAAGTATTTTCTATCACTGTTAGCTCGGACGGCCTGATTCTCTAGAGCTCCAGAGACAACGGGAGGCTAGGAAGAGGGCTCTTGCCAGAAAACAAGCCCAAGAGCAGCTCAGACCACAAACACCTGAACCTGTGGAAGGCAGAAAGCATGTCGATGTGCAAACAGGTGTGTGACTGTGCCCTTGGCATTGTGTCCTCTTGGTTTACTCAGTTGTCTATGTCAGTTCATTTTTATTTGGCCTTTGTATTACTTATGCCTCTCCTGTGCTCTCTGATACTTCCCCGATCACATGGTAGGGAAGTTCCTTTATTAAAGAAATACATAGACTAGGCTGGGTGTGCTGGCTCACGCCTGTAATCTCAGCACTTGGGGAGGCTGAGGCGGACAGATCGCCTGAGGTCAGGAGTTCGAGACCAGCCTGGCCAATGTGGTGAAATACCCCATCTCTACTAAAAATACAAAAATTAGCTGGGCATGGTGGTGGTCGCCTGTAATCCCAGCTACTCGGGAGGCTAAGACAGGAGAATCGCTTGAACCCGGGAGGCGGAGGTTGCAGTAAGCCGAGATCGCACCATTGCACTCCAGCCTGGGTGACAAAAGCAAAAGTCCATCTCAAAAAAAAAAAAAAGAGAGAGAGAGAGAGAGAAATACATAGACTATATACTATTATCATAGTGGATATGGCTGGAAGTCTGGGATGGGGTTTAAAAAAAACAAAAAGAAGAATTTTGGCCAAGCACGGTGGCTCACATCTGTAATCCCAACACTTTGGGAGGCAAGGCGGGAGGATCACTTGAGCCCAGGAGTTCGAGACCAAAGACGCCATCTCTACAAAAAAATTTTAAAATTGGTTGAGCATAGTGGTGCACGCCTGTAATTCCAGCTACTCAGTAGGCTAAGGCAGAAGGATCATATGTGCCCAGGATTTCAAGGCCTCAGTAAGCTATGATCACACCACTGCACTCAGCCTGAACAACAAATAAATAAATAATTTTGTGACCAAATTCTCTCTTAGCAGTTTTCACATATTCTGTTCTCAAACTGGGATCCTTTCTCATAGCCCAACATGAATCACTGTTCTTTTCATTAGGACTTACAGGAAAGGAGACCAATATAGTTCTATTTTGTCCTTTTGTTTGTCTTTTGAGATTAGTAAACCCACTCCCATCTGAGTCGTCTGCCTCTCACACCAGCCTCTTCTGTCCTCTGGTTCTGTCGCTGTGCACATTCCCCAGGGCCACACAGGCACCCCTGAGACAGGTGCCAGGATTTGCGTACTTGTCTCGCTCTGCTCAGCTGTAGAGGCTTACCTGGTCCTATAGGGTCTAGCTGTGTTGTTGACAGAATCTTGGTCATCAGACAGTGCTTGGTGTTTTCCTTGGACCACTGTCACTACTTCAGGTTCACTTTGTACCCTTCCAAGATGGTGAGTGGATCCATCGGGATTATTTCTGCATGGTAAAGGCAAAAGGGACCATTCCATGCTTTAACCCCTGCCTTTAGGCCAAGTCTAGAATGAGTGTATGGCTGTCATTAACCAAAGAGCTAAGTTTTCATGTTTCTTTACACCATCAGAATATTAAGTGATATAATAGCAGCCAGCTTTTTTTGGCTATTTCCTCAGAGACTGAACCAGGTCCTTTATCTGTGTATTTCCTTCATTATTACAAAGATTCTGTGTGACAGGTAGTTATAGCCCATTTTCCAAATGAAGAAACTGAGGCCCAGAGAGGACATGACTTGGCCAAGTCCTATGCCCAACATCTGACTCTAGTGCTCATGTTCTTTGCTTGATACCACATTACCCCTGCCTCATATAAATTACTCCTAACATGAAATTTGTTTTCATACATCTGTTTATAATCTGTAGTGTAGAGGGAATATCAAATAACCTGGTGACTTGGTACATGATTTTTTTAACTATCCAGGAATTTTCAAATCTGTATATGTTTACTATCTTAGGACTCAAATATATATATATATATATATATATATATATATATATATATAATTGACTTTTTATCCACTGTTGTACTCTGCATCTTATACACATCTACGGTCTCATGTTCTTCTTTAGTTCCATTTTCAAATACAAAGCTCAGTGCTTTCTAGACATTCAGTAAATGTTCTAGCCTAACTCTATCTATGGTCTTCCAAATATTTAAAAACTCTTAGTTCAGTATGTGAGGTAAGCCCATTTGAGCACTTTTATTCTAATACTTATTTTCTGATTCATTTAAATATGTTTTGAAGGAGCTAAAATTTCAAATACACATATATGCTTGAAATAGACCAGAATTTTTTTTTCTTTGAGACAGAGTCTCACTGTGTTGCCCAGGCTGTAGTACAGTGACACGATATTGGCTCACTGCAACCTCCACCTCCCAGGTTCAAGCAGTTCTCCCACCTCAGCCTCCCGAGTGGCTGGGACCACAGGCACGCACCACCACGCCCAGCTAATTTTTGTATTTCTTGTAGAGATGGGGTTTCGCCATGTTGGCCAGGCTGGTCTCAAACTCCTGGCTTCAAGTAATGCACCCTCCTCGGCCTCCCAAAGTGCTGGGATTATGGGCATGAACTACCATGCCTGGCCTTAGACCAGAATTTTAAACTCGATATATATGATATTCTTCTTAGAATTATACCTTGAAGAAATTGCTGATCGCATAATAGAAGTTGATATGGAATGCCAAACAGATGCATTTTTGGACAGACCACCAACACCACTCTTTATTCCTGCCAAAACTGGCAAAGATGTGGCCACCCAAATACTAGAAGGAGAGGTACAGTACATCCTTTGGGCTTCCCTCTATAATCTTTATAAATGAGGTAAAGTTAGGTGTAGATAATGCTTAATATGAGCAAGAACCACTTCACAATCAGATTCTACTTCTTGGATTTCTTTCCAGATATTATCTATAATGGTTTTATCATATAGTACTCAGAAATGTTTTAACATACCATGTTCCGATTTCTTTGCTGATTAAAAACAAAATCATTTGAAATATTTTTAGAATATTTCCACATTTGATTTTTGTTTGTTTATATGCTTGCTTAATGTATATATGTATAAGATAGATTTGTACTAAATAGGGAAAAATAATATCCCTGGTATAAAAAATTCCACAGTTAGTTGCTTTTGGATTATTTAACTTTTGTAAAGATATTCTCTCATTTAAAAAAAAAATTTTAATAATTACATTTTTCTATCAGTGTGGAATGCATAAATAGGCCTGTTTATGAAATTGAAGAAGAGAAGGCAATGATTATGTTCATAATGACCTAAGTGAGTTTTAACACTTGTGGGAACTTGAAAGAACTGTCATTGAAATTGGGAAATAAAATAAATCTTCAGAAGCTACCTGAAAGTTATATTTGCCTATAAATCCTAGCAATGAATCACCAAAATATCTCTCATTCTTGTTCCTTCATTCATCAAACTGTTATTTAAAAATAAATAAAAATCAAACAGAAAAGGCAAAGAATAAGACAGACGAGGATATTTCTCTTCAGTGTCAGGGTTCATTTTGATGAATGCGTAGGTTTTTTTCATAACTTTGACTTAACAGATTTTTGCCTGTAAACAAAATGTTGTTCATTTTGAGGATTAGAAACCATGAATAAAGCACCAGCACAGTGTCTGGCACACAGGAGACACTTAATAAATAATATCTTGTTATTGCTATTCATTATATTTTTGTTGAGCATTTGATTCGTAATTAAAATTTTAAGTTTGCTTTATTTTGTATGTTTAAGCTCTTTGACTTTGATCTTGAAGTTAAACCAGTGTTAGAAGTTTTGGTGGGGAAGACAATTGAGCAGTCTCTTCTGGAAGTAATGGAAGAAGAAGAGCTGGCTAACCTGCGGGCCAGTCAGCGTGAGTATGAAGAACTACGGAATAGTGAACGTGCTGAAGTTCAACGACTTGAAGAGCAAGAGAGGCGACACCGAGAAGAAAAAGTATATATAATTATATTTTCTTTCTTAGGCAGTCTTTTGGCTAGTTAGCATATTATGTTCAAAATTACATGTGATGATATATCATAAAACTAAAGATCTTTGGGAATATATTAGAAAAAGATCTATAGTATTTTTGCTCAAGTCTCTCCTATAGATCATAGATCTTTCATGGACGGAATTACATCTTTTAAACTCCAGCTTACATAAATATACCTAAATTGAGTTTCCAAAAGTTTCTAAATGAAGTGAAAGTTCCTAAGTTACATGTGTGCCAGTTGGAAGACTCTCTTAAATATCAGGAGTCCTAAAGAAAGAAAGATGTATGTTGGTTTGCCATAAGTCAGTGGCAGAAAGATGGAAGGAAGGAAAAAGTGAATGTATTGGAGAGAGACTGTGGGTAAAAAGCAGGGGATCTGGATAGAATTCTGATTCTTTTTCTCGGTGACCAGGCCCTTCTTTATACCCTTGGTGACACACCAGACCTATTTGGGTTCTCGTAGAATATTTTTCAGATTCTAGATTTTTAGAATCTTCAATAAGGAAAGGTTTACAATCCAGTTTTTTTACATGTGCCAGTAGCCTACAGTTAGGAAGCACTAGAAAAGATAGTCTTTCTGGTTCTGGCAATAACTGTCAGCCTTTGTTGTATACTGATGAACAAATTATAAAGTCATATCTTAATACCTGAAACAGTTAAGAAAAAATTCCCAAGGGGCCTAACTTACTATGCTGTGAAAAGTAGCATAATTGTTGGGAAATCCTACTCAATACCTATCAAATGGACTTTAATTCTAAGATGAATACTTAGTTGTGTAAAGAGCATAGGGCTTACAATAAGGATTGTGCAAATTTATAGATATAAAAAAACTGTGGCAAAATAAACTTTGTTGAAATGAGTCGTGAAGTCTTTATCAAAAAATATTTGTTTATTTACTATTTGGAAACATATTATGGAAAACTGGATACAAGAATCACCTAGATTTATATTTGTTTAAAGTTTGAAAATAGATTTAATTAGAAAACGTATTAATGCTCCCACTTCCACATGAGAGTAGAGAACAGGATTCATCACCTTTATAAATATTACATGGTCTAAAGGAAGCAACAACAAAAAATAAGAGGCTTTCATAATCTTCAGAACCATTCAGCTTTACAAATTCAGGGAATTATTACAAATGAACTCATTCATTGGCCCACTGGTAATTTTTCTTACCAGTAATATTTCATGATAATATTAATTTAAAATACATATAATGGTGATTATCTTTTTGCTACCATCTATACTGTCAAGCATTATGTCTTGAAATTATTTTACTTGAATAGTGACATGTTTTACCTTAAATTCCATCTTTCATAACTTCCTGAATTCAGTAGCCACTAGCTGTTGAAATTCATTAAATTTTTGATGAAAAATATGAACCTTTAATAGATAGACACCTCGCTGTCCATTTTTTGATAAGTCTGGATTCTTGTACTTACTAACTTCACTAGATTCAGCACTTGGGGAGGGCATAAGAGCTAAATAACCACCTCTGTCGTTCTTGGCAGGAACGGCGTAAGAAACAGCAGTGGGAAATAATGCACAAGCACAACGAGACATCACAAAAAATCGCCGCCCGAGCATTTGCACAGCGTTACCTGGCTGACCTTCTCCCGTCTGTTTTTGGCAGCCTCAGGGATAGTGGCTACTTTTATGATCCCATTGAAAGAGGTTTGTAGATATTTTTGTTAGATTAATTTTGTTGTAATAAGCATCCTCTTAATGGTTCAAATTTATCTTATGTCCATTTTTATTTTGAATTGGAGTCTTTCTATTTCTGACACAAAGTCAATTTTAGTTGTTTAAAGTAAGTACAGTTGTTAATGAGATGTATATTTTAAAGATCTTGATTTAAGGATATTAGTATTTGTTTATTGAGAAGCAACATTTGTATAGTAGAAAGAAATATGGACTTGGTATTGAAAACTTGAGTTTGGGTTGCAGCTTTATCATTAGCTAGCTTGATGACCTCCAGTTTCTTCATGTGAGAAATGAGGAATTTTTTTTTTTTTTTTTGAGACAGAGTCTCATTCTTTTGCCCAGGATGGAGTGTAGTGGCGCAATCTTGGCTCACTGCAACCTCCGCCTCCTGGGTTCAAGCAATTCTCCCTGCCTCGGCCTTCCGAGTAGCTGAGATTACAGGCACCTGCTACCACGCCCAGCTAATTTTTGTATTTTTTAGTAGAGACGGGGTTTCGCCATGTTGGCCAGGCTGGTCCTGACCTCAAGTGATCCGCCTGCCTTGGCCTCCCAAAGAGCTGAGATTAGAGGCGTGAGCCACTCGTGCCCAGCCTGAAATGAGAATTATTTAGGAGTTAAGTCATAAAATATATGAAACTGTGTAAACTATAAAGTCCTGTGTATGCGTAAGTAGTTGTTATTAACTTTTTCTCAGCTGACTTATTCAAATCAAAAACCCTTTGAGGGCAGCTATCAAGGTCATTTATTCATTTAGTTAGGCGCTTACCCTCTTCCAGGCAGTGTTTGGTATTGGAGAAAAAGAAGGATCCCTGATCTCTGCCACTAGGGAGCCCATAGCCTGATAGCTGTCTGTCTGTATCCCCTCAAAGTCCACGTTCCTAGCTGCTCAGCCAGTGGAAAGGAAGAGTTGCATGTCCTCACCACCACCCACCTTCCTCAGAGTGAAAAGCACTTACATCCACCGTGCTTGGTGTATAGGTCCTATTTTGTTGGCCAGTAGTATCTTGGGACACATGTTAGTAATGATAATTTTCACTGATTACATATTCAATTCAATACAAAGAGGTCAGATCACAGACAAATATTATTAATATACATAGTATTTTTCATAGGTGATATCATTTGATACTCTCAATAACCCTGTAGGATAGACAGGTCAGATAGAATTCCCATTTTTTCAGAAATAGAAACTGAAGCTCAGAGAAGTTAAATGCCTTGCTCCCAAATCCTCAGGCAGTGGAAATATTAGGCCTCAAACTGACTTGGAACTCAGACTCCAAGTCCAGTGTTCATTCTCGGCTATCATCCTGCTGTCCTGGGCTCTAGCTTGGACTCTAACTGTTAGCCAGAGAGACCAGTAGCCTTTTTTCTATCACAGATTACCAAAAAAGTAAGTTATAGATCATTTAAAAGCTTGCAAATGAAATTCATACCTGAGATAAAAATTATTTATAGTAGTGAATATAATATTCTATCACTCTCCATTTCATCCTATTGAAAAATAAAATTAGATGCCTGCCCCAAAAAATGCTATTTTGAAACTTTAAAATGTATATTGTAATAGACCATATTTTTAAAATGCTTACACAGTAGATTTCAGTTTGAACAAACTTGATACTGATGGAAACACCTAGTTTCTGACCTATTTCTAGATGACTGCCTCCTCAAATGCCCTCTCACTGCATTCTCTGAGTCTGATCAGCTTCCTTCCATTAGGCCCTGGGCTTCAGGTGGAGACTTTCTTTTACTGGCATTGCTCAATCCCAGATTTGCATTGCATTTGGATTGGAGTTCTCCCAAACCCACATCCTCCCCCTGCCTCCCTGATCCATCTCAGATTGCACCTATGAAGGAAACTCCAAATGCCTTGACTCCAAGGAAGGCCTCATAGTTCTTAAAATATTGGGCAAGGTGTGGTGGCTCACACCTGTAATCCTAGAACTTTGGGAGGCCGAGGCGGGTGAATCACGATGTCAGGAGATTGAGACCATCCTGGCCAACATGGTGAAACCCTGTCTCTACTAAAAATACAAAAATTAGCCAGGTGTGGTGGCGTGTGCCTGTCGTCCCAGCTACTCAGAAGGCTGAGGCAGGAGAACCACTTGAACCTGGGAAGCGGAGGTTGCAGTGAGCAGAGATCGCGCCACCGCACTCCAGCCTGGGCAACAGAGTAAACCTCTGTCTCAAAAAAAATAAAAAAATAAAAATAAAAAATCACTTATGCAACAGAAAGGAAACTGACCAGAACATATATAAGGAATATGGCAAAAGTTATGCTGTATGAGTCTACTTAACATTTTATATTAAGAAACCAATGTTGATGAGTCTATTACATTAAGAGAAAAGCGCATTATTCCTCTGATAATACATGAAAATCAATGAATTCTTTTATTACAGATATTGAGATAGGATTTCTTCCATGGCTAATGAATGAAGTTGAAAAAACCATGGAATATAGCATGGTGGGAAGAACAGTGCTTGACAGTAAGTTATTTTATCCAAAAATTCATCTCTAAAGTTTTTAGTAGAAAGAATAAATTGAATAACTGAAAGAAAGATTAATTTTACAGTTTGAATATTTAAACTTTTAGTATATCAATTGTATTAATAAAAGTGCAAATTTTTACCCTCAATATTATTTTTGGCTCTTCTATAATTTGCTATCTATTAATATCTTCTGCCATTACTTTATAAATGATACTCTGTGAAAACAGAATATATTTTATATTTAATGCATTAAGTGTGAAGTATGCTGACTTCCAAAAAAGGTTATGACATAGGAAAGAGATGAGGCTTCGTGAAGGTTTTTGTAATCATCTATAAGTGAGCATTATAACTCCTGAAATATACCATAATATGAAAATCATAGTGATGTCTGAACATTTAACTTTTCAGTGTTGATCCGTGAGGTGGTTGAAAAGAGGCTGTGTATGTATGAGCATGGGGAAGACACACATCAGTCTCCAGAACCCGAGGATGAGCCTGGTGGTCCTGGAGCAATGACAGAGTCACTGGAGGCCTCTGAATTCCTGGAGCAGAGCATGTCACAGACACGGGAGCTGCTTTTAGATGGAGGCTACCTACAAAGAACAACATATGACAGAAGGTCATCCCAGGAAAGGAAGTTTATGGAAGAGAGAGAACTCTTAGGGCAAGATGAAGAAACAGCAATGAGGAAGTCCTTAGGGGAGGAAGAATTGTCATAGGAGGGAAGCTTCAAAGTCATGAAACCAATCAACAGCCAAGTCAGCAAGCAATCAGGTAATGATGTGCGAGTCCCCTCAGGTTATAGAAATTATGTTGTATTTAGTCAGTATGTCTTTTTGTGTAATGGACTGGGCCAATCAAATGTGATAAAATTAATTTGAGAATGAAACTTAAATTGAATTCATTTATTTAATAGAATATTCAAAGGCTATATTGTAATTCTAATGAGAATTATATTTAATTACTAGCTTTCTATTACCATTATATGTAACCAGCAAATATATTTTTCCTTAGCCCTTCTAATTTTGCGGGTTAGTTTTTTTTAGTAAGTATGATATTTAATGTTCAATATCAGTGCTGTCAGCCATATAGCTTTTCTTCTCTATAGGAAAACTATTTCACCTACTGTAAGAGTGAATGCCTAGCCAGGCGTGGTGGCTCACACCTGTAATCCCAGCACTTTGGGAGGCTGAGGCTGGCAGATCCCCTGAGGTCGGGAGTTTGAGACCAGCCAGACCAACAAGGAGAAACCCCATCTCTGCTAAAAATACAAAATTAGCCAGGCATGGTGGCGCATGCCTGTAATCCTAGCTACTTGGGAGGCTGAGGCAGGAGAATCACTTGAACCTGGGGCGGAGGTTGCGGTGAGCCAAGTTTGCACCATTGCACTCCAGCCTGGGCAACAAGAGCAAAACTCCGTCTCAAAAAAAAAAGAAAAAAAAGAGAGAGAATGCCTAAACGTTGTGCTACTGAAAGCCACAGTGCTCCCTTCCTGCAAGGACCATCTTCAATATTCAAGTAAGGCTTAAGGAATTCAGTGGATTAGTATATGCTCTCATCTATTTTTTCACATTCCTACTATGAAAAAATTTCAGGCAATGCCAATAAAGCAAAAGTCCCTGTTTGCCCTCATACAGTCTCACTCCCCTCCTCAAAGGTAGATCACTGTTATCAGGTATGAGCTATCTAGGCCTTTTTTGAGGTATTCCTATACAAATGTATTTGAAAATCTAGAAATATATAGCTTGATTTTCTTTATATAAATATAAACATTATTTACATATTTTATTTTTCACTTAAGAGAATGTCTTAGATCTTTCAAGGTTAGTGGCATCAATCTCTTATCTTGTCAAAATATGGTTAAGGTATTACATATTATGACTGTGCTGTAGCATAGGGAATTAACATTTGACTTTTTAATCTGAATGTGTTAGAGAATTTACCTGCAGTATTAAAATCACAAGTTATTTTCTCTCCAAAGCCTTCCTAATCGTAAGCAATAACTGAAGTCTTCAGAGCCTTTAGATAAATAGAGCCTATTTTTCTTTTTACTTATTTTTATTTTTATTTTTTGGAGACAAGGTCTCACTCTGACACCCAGGCTGGAGTGCAGCAGCACCATCACAGCTCACTGCAGCCTTGACCTCCCAGGCTCAGGTGATCTTCTCACCTCAGCCTTCCAAGTAGCTGGGACTACAGGTGTGCACCACCACGTCTGGCTAGTTACTGTATTTTTTGTAGAGATGGGCTCTTGCTGTGTTGCCCAGGCTGGTCTCCAACTCCTGGGCTCAAGTGATCTGCCCACCTTGGCCTCCCAAAGTGCTAGGACTACAGGCATGAGCCACCGCACCTGGCTGAGTCTGTTTTTCGCAAAATACTTACACATATATAAACGTAGTGATTTAAAATAACTTATAATTATTAACCCATTTACCTTAATTTCTTTTAAGTTAGGTACCAAGAATGTATCCACATTTAAAAAATTTTAAAAGAATGCACCCATTTTCCCATATAGTATTTCACTATAACACTTAGGCCTCATGGCAACCTTCTGAAGAATGCATGACAATATTTGTATTTTTTAGTTTCTAATCCTTAATTCGGTCAGCCAGCAAACATTAGCTGAGTGCCTGCTCTGCCTTGGGAATGAGACTGCAGATACAGCGGTGAACAGTCACGAATACTACATGTTTTTTACAGCCTAGCAGTGGAGCTAAATGAAGTAAATGATGTAAATAAAGAAACCAAAGCTCAGGAATTTAAAGTGATTTGCAATAGATGACGAGCCTAGTAGGGAATAGGACTAAAGCTGGAATCCAAATCTCCTTACTTCTAATCTGGTATACTTTCTTCTAATAACTTGCTGTTTTTGTGAGGTACAAAGAATAATTTAAAATAAATTATTGCACTAATAGCATTTTAAAAATTGGAATCACGCCTCTTATCCATCATGGGGCTGGTTCCATCTTGTTAAACAGTCTTTATGATCATCCTAACATTTATAAGATATTAATTTTGGCAAGAAGACCAAAAATTTTTAATTAGGGCTATTGCTGATTATTATTGTTATTACCAATTTTAAAATATCTACAACTAGCTTTTAGAAACCTTAAAATTGGGCCAGGCACGGTGGCTTGCACCTGTAATCCCAGCACTTTGGGAGGCCGAGGCAGGCGGATCACAAGGTCAGGAGATCAAGACCATCCTGGCCAACATGGTGAAACCCCGTCTCTACTAAAAATACAAAAATTAGTCAGGCGTGGTGGCGGGCACCTGTAGTCCCAGCTACTCAGGAGGCCGAGGCAGGAGAATCGCTTGAACACGGGAGGCGGAGGTTGCAGTGAGCCGAGATCGCGCCACTGCACTCCAGCCTGGAAGACAGAGTGAGACTCCTTCTCAAAAAAAAAAAACCTTAAAATTGATTTGAAGTTGATTATCTTTCATAATCTTCTAATTCTCCTTTAGAATGATCCAGTCCATTAAACACTTTGCAGATGCCAGACCTATGCTCTATAAATCCATAAATTAATTCAATTTATTGAAAGAAGTAGATATCTATAAACCCCACACTGAACTGGTTAAGCTTAATTGCAATCCTAGTCCATCCTAGAGAGAAATCAAAATAATTGAGAGGTTAGGGCATTGTCGCTGTGAGAAAGCTTAGAGGTAACACATTATATGTTATCTGGAGAGAAGAATGTTAAATGGAAACAAAGTTTATGAAGAATTTCTTCAAGTACCTGAAGGACTTTCTGGGAAATTACAAGATAGCATTCTTAGGTTCCATATGTCTAGAAGACTTTTCATAACTGTAAGCAACTTTTGCAAATGGTTTGGGAACATAAAACTCTTCCAGCATAGAAGAAAATGGGTACTATTAACATTCAGATGGTTATGGGACCATCATAACAGTTTGATGTGATATGCAAAATGCTACATCCCCAACTATGACCCTCAGTATGACTTTTAAAGGAATTATAAGCTCCAAATACTTTTTGGAGTATAAACAGTACTTGACTTTTTCACACATTTGCTAATACCCTTCTCATAAGTTTTATTTCTTTCTGATGTTTCAGCTAACACTGAGTTAACAGAAGCTAAATAATAATAAAATGAAGAACAGATAGTAAATATATTGAAATTGTCATTCCTGGCCGGGTGTGGTGGCTTACGCCTATAATCCCAGCACTTTGGGAGGCCAAGGCAGGCAGATCACGAGGTCAGGAGATCGAGGCCATCCTGGCCAACATGGTGAAACCCTGTCTCCACTAAAAATACAAAAATTAGCTGGGTATGGTGACGCATGCCTATAATCCCAGCTACTCGGGAGACTGAGGCATAAGAATCACTTGAACCCAGGAGGTCGCGCCGCTGCACTCCAGCCCGGTGACAGAGCAAGACTCCGTCTCAAAAAAAAAAAAAAGAAAGAAAAAGAAATTGTCATTCTTAACATAAATTCCCATATCACTAAAATAGATCAGAGAGGTAGAATGAAATTTTCTCTAGCATAGGCATCATTACATTTAAGCCATCTGAGGGCTATGAGCGTGGCCTGCAAAGTCACTCTGAGCAACACAAGGTGGAGTTTGAAAGCAGATTCAAAGCCAGACCACTGGGCTTGAGTCCTCACATGCAAGCATGTAGTCTTCACCATGGAGAAGGGGGTTTGCCTTTCTCAAAGCTTTTTTCTTTTAAATTAAGAAAAAGAACTGATTTATCAGTCTAGTGTTTCATTTTAAAAACATATGAAAGGGTGGGTAACTTGCAGAAGAAAGTATTTGGAGCCTATAATTCCATTAAAAGTTATAATGGCGGTCATAGTTGGGGAAGCAGCATTTTGCATATTATATCAAAATGTTATGGTACCATAACCATCCAAATGTTAATGGTACCAATTTCTTCTATCCTAGAAACATTTCATTTTATGTTGTTGAAACATAACAACTATATCAGCTAGATTTTTTTTCTATGCTTTACCTGCTATGGAAAATTTGACACATTCTGCTTTACTCTTTTGTTTATAGGTGAATCACAGAATGTATTTTTATGTATTCTGTAGTTCAATAGCCATGGCTGTTTACTTCATTTAATTTATTTAGCATAAAGACATTATGAAAAGGCCTAAACATGAGCTTCACTTCCCCACTAACTAATTAGCATCTGTTATTTCTTAACCGTAATGCCTAGGCCTAACCTCAACCAACCTTCCACAATCTTGTTCACAGTCAGAGACCCAAAAAAGAGTGTTATAAGTGGGGTGTCACTATTGTGAAAGTAGTGCTAATGGTGTTGAATTGGTACCTATGATTCTTCTTTTGAATTAGATTGTATGTTTCATGATCTCAACTTACATTACTAAAATTCAATAAACTGATCATTTAGATGATGTTCTTCTGTTTTTCATAAACAAGAGAATAACATAACTGAAAGATATGAGTTAAAAGATAAGCTAATAGCATTATAGGCTTGCTTATAATCAAGTGTTAAAGAGTTTGAAATTTTAGCATAAAAATATTTCAGATATAAGATGCCATTTAAGCAATTTTAACTTCTTTTTGAAAAGAGAATTCAAAATGAATGAATTTTTATCACTATATTCATTTATGATTTTTATAAATACGAACATTTTTGTGATCATTGTATGTTGTCTTTTAACATTTTAGATTATAACCACTAGGTGTCAGTGAAACCCTAAGGTAAGGTTGACTTGCTGCCAACTTCATACATAATTTCGTGACCATAAAAGACCTTGGTGAGCACAGTTCAAAAATATATTGTATTCCTTGGAATCTTCTAGACTCTCAATGAATATTTTATCTCGCCCTAAAGTTCTCTGCCAGCTCTGTAGGGGTGCCAGACTCTTAAAATGTTCATTTTAGAGTGGACTTTAGTTGTCACATACTTCACTATCTAATTCAGGATCCTTAACAGATGGTCAGTTAGTCTTTGTTTCATCACTTTAAGGATGAGGTTTTCACTTTATGAGCTGCTGTAGATAGCAATTCTGTCTTACTTGGTTTTGTCTCCACAGGCCTGGGCTATGGTAGATGCTTAGCCAATAACATTGTTGGACAGTTCTCATTATTAGAAATTTCTCTATACTGATTCAAAACCTGCCTGTTATAACCTTTGCTTATTGGTCATAATCATGAGGGCATGATTATGGTAGAGGGAGACAAAATGATTTTATTGCCATATCAGCCCTATCATGTACCCCAATAAATTTTTCTTTATCCCCCCCAAGTTTTTTTTCTCCCAATGAGATTCACCACTCTTCCCAATTATTCCTCATATGGCACAGTTTTGGAACTTCCCCACTCACCATCCTGGTTACTATTACTTTTAAATGGCTATTTGGTCAAAGTTTCTGTTAAAACATGTTTCCCAGAATTAGGTAGACAACTATAGGTGTAATCTGACTCGGCAATCACCCATCACCAAATCACTTTCTCTAAACTCAAATGCCTAGAAATCATATCTTCCAGGACATCGGAGAGAAAAAGCCAAAATGAGTTTTGAGCAGCTGCAATGTCACGAAGTCAACAGACTTTGCAGTGGACCCTCCAAGCCTATCTTAACATGTTGCTAACCAACTAGGCTATTTCATTATTGACCCTACAATATGTTAGATGTAACATTAACCAGGGAAGAGGGACTGCTGTGGGAAAACTCATAGCACTAACATAAGAGAAATGGCAGGAAAAAATAGGCAACTCAAAAAGTATAGCAGTCTGGAGCAAAAATTGAGTATTCTTCAGCATGTCCTGACTACATGTTTATATTAAAGTACAATACAGAAATTAATGTGTATGGACAAAGCACCTCTGGAATGGTGGAATAAGGATCTCTGAAAATCTGTTCCTCCATAAAAGCAATGTGAATGCAGGCCAGAATTGCCAAAATCAGTATTTTCAGAACTCTAGAAATTAACCAACGGCTTGCAACAATGACAAACATTTATTAAAGAAAAATGATTGAATCTTAGTAAGAACAGTAAGCTTCATGGCATTTTAACTTGACCTATTTCCATCCCGCTCTTCCCAACTCCACAGTAGCCTTGAAAGTCAGTAACCAAGAAACAGAAGCTTAGGAGCTATTGAAAGGAGCAGAAAGGCTTGGTGCCTCCCCACCCCCACAATAAAACCGCATCTCCAGACAGTTGTCACTACTTGGCATCTGTGGCAGCTCTCTGGAAAAGCCCATTTACAGAGGCATGTCTTTATTTAACCTGACTCAGAGCTTTCTCAGTGACAAAAGTCCTGACATCAAGGCATTAAGAACAAAAAGCAGCAGCAATTGTTTAACATCACAGCTGCCTGAGGTAGAGCAAATAAGAGACTGGCAAAAAAAAATTGAAAGTCTTGAGAGTGCAGTGGTGATAAGGGGCTTTAAAAAGCTTTGACATTTGGCTGGGCACGTTTCTCACGCCTGTAATCCCAGCACTTTGGCAGGCCAAGGCAGGTGAATCACGAGGTCAGGAGTTCAAGACCAGCCTGGCCAACATGATGAAATCCCATCTCTACTAAAAATAAAAAATAAATAAACTGGCAAGGCATAGTGGCGGGTGCCTGTAATCCCAGCTACTCAGGAGGCTGAGACAGGAGAATCACTTGAACCCAGGAGGCGGAGGTTGCAGTGAGCCAAGATCACGCCACTGCACTCCAGCCCAGGTGACAGAGTGAGACTCCATCTCAAAAAATGAAAAAAAAAGAAAAGCTTTGACATTCTCGGGAAACTACATATAGGGTACATGTGTAGGACTGCATGCATGCCCAGAAAAGAGCTAAGAAGGCCTGAATCACTCACTTCTGACTGACCTTAAGGATCTGCACAACCAGGAATTGAAAGCTAAGACAGAGCTATAAACTGCCAAAATAGTAAAGGCATGCCCAACACTTATAGAGCCACTCAACAAAGGATGGAAAACTTACTGGTTCAGGGCACTTAAGGAAATCTCTAATCATCAGCTGACTGCTAAGCTAACTAAGCAGAGACTTCAGTGGCCACACACAACAAAGAATACAAATTTTACAAAATTTTTCCAGAGAAGTCATTAAACAAAGAATAACAAACAGCAACAGAAAACCCAGGTTGGACGGGTGGTACAAGAATATAACTTTCAAAGTTACTACATTATAATTATTTAAAGTGTTTAATTTTCAGCAAAAAAAAAGAAAAAAGTACAAGGCAGGCAAAAAATAGGAACATATGGCAGTCAGAAAAAGCAGTCAATAGAAACTGTTCCCAAGGAAGTCCAGATTTTTAACTTACTAGACAAAGACTTTAATTGGCTATTATATATTCAAAGAACTAAAGAAAACCATGTCTAAAGAATTAAAGTAAGTATGAGAAAGATGTCTCACCAAATGTGAATATCAGTTAAGAGAGAAAAAACATTTTTTAAGAACCAAATAGAAATTCTGGCATTGAAAAGTGCAATAATTGAAATGATAAATTTTCTTCAGGGCCTTAATAGCAAATTTGATCTGGCAGAAGAAAATATCCATGAAATTGAAGTTAAGTCCATTGAGATAATCCACTCTGAGGAACAGAAAAATGAATGAAGAAAAATGAGCAAAGCCTCAGAGACCTGTGGGACACCATCAAGCATATCAACGTACACATCCCCAGAAGGAGAGGAGAGAAGAGAGAAAGGGGCAGAATATCTGAAGAGATCATGGCTTGAAAACTTACTAAATTTGATGAAAAATGTTGATCTTCACATTCAAGACGTTCAGTGAACTCCATATAGGAGAAATTCAAGAGATCCACAATTAGACATATGCTACTCAAACTGTCAAGAGACAGAGACAAATAGAATCTTGAAAGTAGCAAGACAAAAATTACTTTTCATGTACATGGGCTCCTCAATAACATTAACAGCTGACTTCTCATCCCACATCATGAAGGCCAAAAGGCAATGGGATCATATATTCAAAGTGCTAAAAGAAAAAACTGCCATTCAAGAATTCTGTATCCAGCAAAACTATCCTTTAAAATGAGGAGAAATTAAGACATTCCCATATAATCAAAAACTGAGAGAACTTGTCATTAGCACACCTACCCTACAAGAAATACTAAAGGGAGTCCTTCATACTGAAATGAAAGGATACTAGACAGCAATTCAAATCCACATTAAGAAATAAGGAGCACCAATAAAGACTGTATATATGTATATAATTGATAGTATAAATTTACTTTTCTTTGTAATTCTTCTGTCATTTAAAAGACAGTTACATCATAAAGCAATCATTATAAAACTGTATTAATGGGCTTCTAATGTATAAAGATGTAATTTGTAGGGTGGATCACAAGGTCATGAGATTGAGACCATCCTGGCCAACATGGTGAAACCCTGTCTCTACTAAAGTACAAAAATTAGCTGGGTGTGGTGGCGCACACCTGTAGTCCCAGCTACTCGGGAGGCTAAGGCAGGAGAATTGCTTGAATCCAAGAGATGGAGGTTGCAGTAAGCCGAGATCACACCACTGCACTCCAGCCTAGTGACAAAGCAAGACTCTGTTTCACAGTAAATAAATAAATAAATAATAATACTACTACAAAGGAAGGAGAAGGAACAGAATAATACTAGAGAAAACTTTTTGTATACTCTTGAAATTAGATTACTATTAATCTGAAGTAGATTGTCTTAAATTAAGATGTTAATTGTAATCCCCAGAGCAGCTACTAAGAAAGTATCTTTTTACAAAATAGTAAAAATAGCCAGGTGTGGTGGCTCACACCTGTAATCCCAACACTTTGGGAGACTGAGGTGGGCAGATCACTTGAGGTCAGGAGTTCAAGACCAGCCTGGCCAACATGGTGAAACCTGATCTCTATTAAAAATACGCAAAATTAGCCAGGTATGGTGGTACATGCCTGTAATCCCAGCTATTCAGGAGGCTGAGGCAGGAGAATTGCTTGAACCCAGATGGTGGAGGTTGCAGTGAGCTGAAGTCATGCCACTGCACTCCAGCCTGGGCAACAGAGTGAGACTCCATCTCAAAAAAATAAAAAATAAAAAACAGTAAAAGAAACAAGAGTATTAAAAGCTTTTCCTGGAAGATACCCATTTAATGCAAAAGAGAGCAATAATGGAGGAATAAAGGTACAAAAAATACATAAGACATGTAAAAATCCAAATAGCAAAATGGTAAATTAAAATCCTAGCTTATCAGTAATTTAATCAAAAGTAAATGGCTTAAACACCCTAACCAGAAGGCAAAGATTGCCAGAATGAGGGTTTTTATTAAAAATAACCCAACAATACTATTAGAGACACACTTTAGATTCAAAGACACAAATTGGTTGAAAATAAAAGGATGGACAAAGATATGGCATGCAAACAGTAACCAAAAAAGAGCTGGGGTAGCTACATTAATCTCAGACAAAATGGACTTTAAGATAAAAATAGTTACAAGAGGTGAAGAAATGTATTTTATGATAAAAAGGTCAATCTTCAGAAAGACAACAATTATAAACACATATGCACCTAACAACAGGGCTCCAAAATACATGAAGCAAAAAGTGGTAGAATTAAAGGGAGTATTAGACAACTCAAAGCAATAGATATTTCAAAACCCCACTTTCAATAATGGATAGACTAAGGAGAAGATCAGCAAAGAAAAAAATGATGTGAAATATATTATAAACTAATTAATCTTAGACATTTATAGAAGTACTTAACAACAGAATACACATTCTTCTCAAGTGCACATGGAACATTCTCCAGGATTATGTTAGACCAAAAATAAGCCTTAGTAAATTTTAAAATAGTGAAAATTGCACAATGTATGTTCTCCAATCACAATACATTTAAGTTAGAAGTCAATAATAAAAAGAAGTTTGGGAAATTCACAAATGTGTGGAAATTAAACAATATACCCCTAAATAATAAATGGTTCAAAGGAGAAATCATAGAAAAATTAGAAAGTAATTTGAGGTGAATAGAAACAGAAATAGGCCAGATGCTGTGGCTCGTGCCTGTAATCCCAACCAAGGTGAGTGGATTGCCGAGGAGTTCAAGACCAGCCTGGGCAACCTGGCAAAACCCTGTTTCTACAAAAAAAAATACAAAAATTAGCCAGGCATGGTGGTACATGCATGTAGTACCAACTACTTGAGAGGCTAAGATAGGAGAATCATCTGAGCCCAGGGAGTTCAAGGCTACAGTGATGCATGATCATACCACTGCACTCCAGCTTGTCAACAGAGTGAGACCATGTCTTTAAAAAAAAAAAAATACAATATGCCAAAACTTATGGATGCATCTAAAGCAATGCTTAGACAGAAATTTATAACTCTGAAAGTCTATATTTAAAACAGAAGAAACATCCTAAATCAATAACCTAAACTCCCACCTTAAAAAACGAAAAGAAGAGGAAAATAAATGCAAAGCCAGTGAAGAAAGAAAATAATAAAGATTAGAGCAGAAATAAATGAAATAGAGAATAGAAAAACAATTGAGAAAATCACTAAAACCACAAATTTGGTTTTTTTTTGCAAAGATTAACAAAATTGACAAACCCAAAACTAAACTGACCAAGAAAAAATAAGAACACTCAAATTATTAAATTAGGAATGAAGGAAATGATATTTTACCAGCCCTACGTTAATAAAGATTATTATGGGAATATTATGAACAACTGTAGGCCACCAAATTAAATAACTTAGATGACATTGACAAATTCCTAGAAAGATACAATTTACCAAAACTGACTCAAAAAGAAATAGAAAACCTGAATAGATCTGTAACAAAGAGATTGGATTATTAATTTTTGAAACTTCCCACAAAGGAAACCCCAGACTCAGACAGCTTCACCGATGAATTCTAGTAAACATCTAAAGAAAAATTAAGGTCAAACTTTCACAAACTATGAAAAAGAAGAGGGGAACAGTTCCCACCTCATTCTGTGAGACCAGTTTACCCTAATACCAGAATCAGGCAAAGACATCACAAGAAAACTGTAGACCAATATCCTTTAAATATATAAATGCAAAAATCCTCAGTGAAATACTAGCAAACTGAATTTAGCAACATACGAAAAGGATGACCAAGTGGGATTTATCCAAGGAATATAAGGTTGTGAAATCCAAAAGTCAATCAATATAATATGTTATATTCATTACACAAGTTTACCCATATAACAAATCTGCACATGTACCCTGAACCTAAAATAAGAGTTTAAAAAATAAAATTAAAAGAAAAGAATATATGCCATATTAATATAATAACAGAAACCACATGATCATCTCAATAGATGCAGAAACAGCATTTGACAAAATTCAACACACTTTCATATTAAAAACAGTCAACAAAATTAGGAACAGACAGAAACTTCCTCAATCCTGTACAAGGCATCTAGGAAAATTCCACAACATAATACTTAACGGTGAAAGATTGAATGTTTTCCTTATAAGATCAGGAATTAGCCAAAGACACCTTATCTTGCCACTTTATTCAACATTGTACTGGAAGTTCTAGTCATGGCATTTAGGCAAGAAAAAGAAAAGTCATCCGGATTGGAAAGGAAAAATTAAAATATCTTTAGTTGCAGAATTTTAAGCAATCTATGAAAACACTATTAGAAGTAATACATGAGTTCAGCAAGTTTGCAGACCACAAAATCAATAGTTTATAAAAATCGCATTTTTATACATTGGCAATGAACAATCTGAAAGGAAATTAAGAAAACAATCTCATTTACAAAAGCATTGAAAAGGATTAAATACCTAAGAATAAATTTAACCAAAGAGATGCAAGACTTATACAGTACACTGAAAACTACTTAACACTCATGAAGGAAATTAAAGAAGACCTAAATAAATGGAAAGACATTACATATTCATGTTGGGACACTTAATGATGTAAAGATGGCAGGACTCCCCAGAGTGATCTCCAGATTCAATGCAATACCAATCAAAATCCCAACAGACTTTTTTTACGGAAATGGAAAAGCCAGTCCTAAAACCCATATTGAATTACAGGGAAACCTTAGTAGCCAAACAATCTTGAAAAAGAACAAAATTATAGGACTCACACTTCCCAACTTCAAAGCTACGGTATTCAAAACTGTGTGGTAAGGGATAAGGATAGAAATATAGATCAATGGAATACTACAGAGTCTAGAAATAAATCCATACATCTATGGTCAATTAATTTTTGACATATGTTCAAGATCATTCAATAAGGGAAGAATGATCTTTTCAATAAATGGTAATGGAACAACTAGATACCCACATGCTAAAGAATTAAGTCAAATCCCACTTCACACCATTTACAAAAATTTACTCCAAATAGATTATAGACCTAAGTGTAAGAGCTAGAACTCAAGACAACATAACAGTAAAACATTGTGACTGTGGATTAGACAATGGTTTCTTATATATGACATCAAAAGCACAAATGGTGAAAGAAGAAAAGATAAATTGGATTTCATCAAAATTTAAAACTTGTGCTTCAAAGGACACCATCAAGAAAGTGAATAGATAACTCAGAGAATGGATGAAAATGTTATCAAAGCATATATCTAACAAAGAATTTATTATCCAGAATATACAAAGAATTACAACTCGACAATAAAATGACAACCTATTTTAAAAATGAGTAAAGGGTTTAAAGAGACATTTCTCTAAAGAATTTAAACAAATAGCCAATAAACACATGGAAAATGTTCAATAACATTAGTCATTAAGGAATTGCAAATCAAAACTACTTCATACCCATTAAGGTGGCTAAAATTTAAAAAGACAGACAATAACTAGTTATTAAGGATGAGGAGAAATTGGAACACTCATTCAAGCAAATAAAGTTAATGATTTATGACATGACACTGGTCACATCTGGACTCCAGGTCCTAAAAATGAGTTGAAGACCATACAATCACAATACAGAAAAAGACTTGAGAATCCATCTAATCCCATTGATCCTTAGATTTGATTCAGTCCACAAAAACTATCAATCCATGGCAAAAACTGAAAAATAAAGACAATACTATAAGTTTTTCCCAATTAAAGAACTGTCCTTTATTCTGAGATTATATTAGAGGAGAGGGTGGTGTGAGAAATTAAAGATAATAAAGAGTAGTTGTTCAGAATTTTTTCCCCTAATTGTCCATTCTTAAAATTGTTTTTGAAAAGTTATTGGTCTGTGGAACCCAAAAGTCTTGGAACATTTGTCCATACCTCCCTCATTGTTTGAATAGGGTACATATATTAATGATTCCTGATAACTAGGAAAAGTTATTTTTATCAGGGGTAAGAGGAGGGGTAGAAAATTTACTTTCTAGTATATCACTTTTGGGATCTATGGCTGTTAAAAATTGTTTTCATTGTTATTTATTCCATTTTATTTTATTGAGGCTATTTGGAAGTTACTAGAAATTATGGCATAATTCCAGCACTTTGGGAGGCCAAGGCAAGAGGATTGCTTGAGCCCAAGAGTTTGAGACCAGCCTGGACAACAGAGTGAGACCCTGTCTCTACAAAAGAATTTTGTAAATTAGCCTGGCTTGGTGGCACATGCCTGTAGTCCCACCTGCTTGGGAGGCTGAAGTGGGAAGATTGCTTGAGCCTGGGAAGTCAAGGCTGCAGTGAGTTGTTGAGCCATGATTGCACCATTGCCCTGCAGCCTAGGCAACATTGTGAAACCTATCAAAAGAAAGAAAAGAAAAAAGAAAAGGGAAAAAGAAAGAAAGAAAAGAAAGAAGGGAGGGAGGGAGGGAAGGAGAAAGAAAGAAAGAGGGAAAGAGAAAGAGACTGGGAAGGGAAGGGAAGGGAAGGGAGAGGAGGGGAGGGGAGGGGAAGGGAAGGGGGAAGAAGGGGGAGGGAAGGGAAGGGGGAAGGAGGGGGGAGGGAGGGAGGGAGGAAGGAAGGAAGACTGTGAAACCCTATCTGAAAGAAAGAAAGGAAGGAAGGAGAAGGAAGGAAGGAAAGAGAGAGGAGGGAGGGAGGAAGAGAGGAAGGAGATAAATTATGAAAAAGAAAAAAGATCTCTCCTAATTTCACCACCAAAATTGAGTAAGAATTATCACTTATAACATTGCCTTTCAGTCTTTTTATGTATATGTTTGTAATTCCATAAAATTGGGATGATGAATATAATTTTATTTTCTGTTTTTATCATTAAATATATTTTGTGTTTTTCATATTATTCAGTATTCCTTACAGATAGTACCTAAAGTGCAATTATTGATTTAATGATGTCCTACTGCTGGTCATTGAAGCTTTCCTAATTTTTTACTCTTCTAAAATTATAAACAACATTTTCAATCATAAATGTGTCTTTAAATCTTTCCTTGGCAGATTCCTACAAGTGAGATTACTAGGTCAAATAATGAACATTTTTAGGCTCTTGATATATATTGATGATAAAAGAAAGATTGTACCAACTTTTTACACTCCCATCAATGTCAGTGGAATCTGAGTAAGTTGGATTTTACCTTCTTTAATAACACATCTTTTATGCTAAAAGATAAATAGTAGGAATTTTCACCTCACCTCCAGTAATGACAGAACAAGACCCAACTGGAGGAGTCCCAACAGAAAATATCTATAAACACTGGACATAATACCAAAGCAACTACATCAGTGAATTGGAGAGTGGACAGAGCAGACGAAATCGGGTGGAGGAGACAAGCTCAGAGAAAAAGAGGATGGGAGCTGTACAAATTCTCTGTTTTTATGGCTTCTGTTCTGGGGCTAAATATAGTCTACTTGGAGTGTGTGGTCTTGGAGGAGACACTAATTGAAAACAGCAGTCTTTTTGACCAGGGAAATTTAAAAAAAAAAAAAAAAAAAAAAAAAAAAACCGAGCTAGGGAATCATGGACACTGAAAAAAGTGGAAGAATCTTGGAAGCAAAAGAGCAAGAGAAGGTTTCAGCAAACATGTCTGCCCACATTTCCGAGTGACCCTTGAACCACGTATGTATGGACCAAATTCAAAGCAGCTCATCTAGAGAAAAAATATCTGAACTGAGACTGAAGCTGCCACCCCAAAAAATAGAGATTGCAACTCAAACACAGATGATTGCCTACTTAAACAAAAGAAATCATAATCATGAGAGAAAATTAACTGAATCCAGAATTTCTACAACTTAATATTGATAAGGTCCAGTATACAATAAGAAAAACTACCTATCATATAAAGAACCAAGAAAATGAAACATATTCTCAAAATCAACTGAGTCCGATGCCAAGATGTGCCAGATACTGGAATTAGCAGCCAATGATTTTTAAACAGCTATTAGAACTCTCCTCAATGAAGTAAAACAAAATATGCTTTCAATGAGTTGAAAAATATGAATTCTCAAGAGAGAGGTGATTAAAGAAAGAAATCATTTCTCAAGAGAGAAATGATTAATGAAAGAACCAAATGATATCTGATATACCCACCTGCTGTTCCCATCCCCTCCACCTCCACAACACACACAAACCATTTGCCTACCTAGCAAATTTCTCGTCCTTAAGTACTCAGCTTAGGAGTCCCCACTTTAAGAAGCCTTTCTCAGGGCTCCAGTGTCCTTGCAGCACACACCAGGCCTAAACTTACCAAGACAAGAACAATTGCAAGTGCAGTTTCCCATTGCCCCCCCACAGTTGGGTGGCTCACGTTGACTGAGAAGAGCTGGATATTAGACTCCAGGAAAAGGACTTCAGCCTTGTATTCTTACATAAACGTGATCAGCTACATGACAGGGGAAGTACCAGGCCTTCCCGTGGCATGGTCAGAGTCTAGGAGCCAAGTCTTATAATTTTAACTATGTAACCTGGTAGATCAGTAGTTTCCAACTCTGATCTGCCACTCAGCATTCTATCATGATTAACCTCACTGCCTTAGGTACTCAATTCTAGCTAGTATCTGTGGTGCATATTTCAGAACCCAGTGGTCCTATTCCATGGGAGGCCAGCTCCATCTCTGGAAGACCAATCTGCAGAGAACGAGTCCTAGTCAAGTTGAACCTAAATTCTCAGTTTACCCCCTAAATTCAAAAGGTGCCTCATTTTCTGTTCCATCAGCATCTCATACTGTTTCAGCCATGAGTACTAAGAGGCCAGTGACTGACATAGCTCTAAGAAGGCATTGCTAAACAGACCAGGGGTCATAGGAACTCTTATATTAAGCTCAATTCATCTAGTAGTTTTCCATATTTTTCTAACTCCTTGATTTGCAGATACCCAGGTTTATCATTCATCTCATAAGTTGCATTTTTGTTTACAAACAATGGTTGCCCAAATGACCAACAATTTAGTTTGCTTTTTTCATACAGCTAGTAATATTTTTGTGTTAACCTGACTCTTATGCCTTTCCCATGCGCTATGGTTTGAATGTTTGTTCCCTCAACTCATGTGGAAACTTAATCCCCAGTGTGGCAGTTTTGAGAGGCAGGACCTTTAAGAGGTGGTGGGTCATGAGAGCTCTGCCCTCATGTATGGGTTCATCCACACATGGATCAATGGATTAATGAGTTAAGTGATTAATGGGTTATCACAGGAGTGGCACTGGTGGCTTCATAAGAACAGCAAGAGAGACCTGAACTAGCACACTCAGACCGCTTGCCATGTGATGCCCTGCACCACCTTGGGACCCTGCAAAGGGTCCCCACCAGCAAGAAGGCCCTCACGATCTTTCTGGAAAGCAATTATCATCAATATATATAAACTTCTTTTCTTTATAAATTATCCAGTTTCAGGTATTCTGTTATAAGCAATAGAAAATGGACTAAGAAAATTGGTATCAGAAGTGGGGCTGTTGCTAATAATGAATACCTGAAAACGTGAAAGTAAGGGCAGAGGCCAGAAGCATTTGGAGGAGCAGGCCAAGGCCAGAAAAAGCCTTCAATTCATTCTGGTAAAGGCTTAGACGACAAGACGACTAAGGAAAGTTTGGAACTCACTAGAGATTGTTTAAGTGATCATGACCAGAATACTGACAGAAATTTGGACAATGAAGGCCATTCTGACAAGGTCTCAAATGGAACTCTCTTGGAACCTAGAGTAAAGGCTATCCTTTTTATAAATTAGAAAAAAAAAAAACCAACTTGGTTGAACTGTGTCCATGTCTGAGGGCTTTGTGGAAGAGCAAACTTGAAAGTGATGAACTAGGGTATCTGTGGAAGAAGTATCCAAGCAGAAAATCATTCAGGCTGCTACATGGCCACTTTTAATTGCTAACATTAAGCTGTGAGAGGGAAAAAAATGACTTGGAGACAGAATTTATAACCAAAAGAAAAGCAAAGCAGAAAGATTTGGAAAATTCTCAGCCTGGCCATATAAAGAGTGAAAAATGGCTGGGCACAGTGGTTCACGCCTGTAATCCCAGCACTTTGGCAGGCTGAGGCAGGCAGATCACTTGAGTCCAGGAGTTTGAGACCAGAATGCACAACATGGCAAAACCCCACCTCTACAAAAAATAAAAAAAATAGCTGGGTGTGGTGGTGCACAGCTACTGGTAGTCCCAGCTACTCAGGAGGCTGAGGTGGTAGGATCACCAGAGCCTAGGGGGCTGCAGTGAGCCATGATCACACCACTGCATTCCTGAGCAACAGAGTGAGACCCTTCCTCAAAAAAAGTGAAAAAGCATGTTTAGAAGAGGAAATCAAGGATGTAGCACGGCGACCTCTTGCCAAAGAGATTAGCACAGCTAGAAGGAAGCCAGGTGCTTCTCCTCAAAACAGTGAAAGAAAGACCGCAAAGCCATTTTAAAGACCTTTGAGGCTTCCCCGCTGTTACAGGCCCAGAGGCCTATGAGGGCAGGGATGAGCCCAAGACACCTTCCACAGACTCCCTCCCCAGGGCCACCTCAGGACCCTGCTAACCAGATTCTGGTGAGGTGCTTCTCAGCTGCCCCAGCTGTGGCTCAAGTAGTCCCAGGTGTGGATCAGCCCGCTGCTCAAGAAGATACAAGCTGTAGCCTTGATGGTGTCTCATGATGCTAATTCTGCAGGCTTGCAGAAAGCAATAGCTGCGGAGGATTGGCACCCTCTACCTAGATTTCAGAGGATGTGGCTGAAAGCCTAGAAGCCAGGTAGAGACATGTTCAGGGATGGCATCACTGCAGAGAGCCCTCACTAGAGTAATGCTAGCAGAAATGTGGAGTCAGAGCTGCTACAGGGAGTCCCCACCAGGGCTGCTAGTGGAGCCATGGGAGCGGGACCACCACCAGGACCCCAGGGCAGTGGAGTCCCCAGCAGCATGCAGCACCTGCATGGCAAAGCTTCAGGCGCTTTGCCACAGGGACTGCACCCAGCAAAGCCAGGGGGTGGGGGCAGCTGCCTGAAGCCTTAGGGCCCCAACCTCTGCCCCAGTGTGTACAGCAGGTGGCACATGGAGTCAAAAGAGACTATTCTCCAGCTTTAAGATTTGACGTCTTCTTTACTGGGTCTTGGGCTTGCTTGGGGCCTATTACTCCTCTCTTTTTGCCTATTTCTCTCTTTTGAAATAGGAATGTCTGTCTAATGCCTGTACCACCACTGTATCTTGGAAGAAGAGAGCTTGTTTTGGTTTCACAGGCTCACAAGTGAGGCTCTGGACTTTGAACTGGAATTTTGTGCTGGAATTAGTTCAGACTTTGGAACTATGGGAGTAGAATGAATGTGAGAAGGAAATGAGTTTTGGGGGATCAGGGGTGGAATGGTAGCATTCCCCTCTAAAACTCAATCCTCAATGTGGCAGTATTAAAAGGTGGGGGCTCTCTAAGGGGTGATTGGGTCATGAGGGCTCTGCCCTCATTAATAGATTAACCCGCGCAAGGATTCATGGGTTGATTGATTAATGGGATGTCACAAAAGTGGGACTGGTGGCTTTCTAAGCAGGGGAAAGAGAACTGAGCCAGCACATCATGTGATGCCCTGTCACCTCAGGATTCTGCACAGTTCCCACCAGGAAGAAGGCCCTCACCAGATGCAGCCCCTCAACTTTGAGCTTCTCAGCCTTCAGAGCTGTCAGAAATAAATTCCACTTTTGAATAAATCATCCAGTTTCAGGTCATCTGTTGTAAGTAACAGAAAACAGACTAAGACATCATGACGTTGGTTTTGCTTGAATTTCAGTATTGAGTCACTTGTTGTTATAAGATGGGTTAATAAGATACATTATTTCAGATACTATTATTAAAATTATGGCCAGACGCAGTGGCTCACACCTGTAATCCCAACACTTGGGGAGACTGTGGCAGGTGGATCACCTGAGGTCAGGAATTTGAGACCAACCTGGCCAACATGGTGAAACCCCATCTCTACTAAAATACAAAACTTAGCCAGGCGTGGTGGCATGCACCTGTAGTCCTAGCTACTCAAGAGGCTGAGGCAGGCCCATCACTTGAACCCCGGGAGGTGGAGGTTGCAGTGAGTCGAGATCACACCAGTGCACTCCAACCTGGCCGACAGAGTGAGACTTCATCTCAAATAATAACAATAATAAATAAATAAATAAATAAATAAATAAATAAAGTACCTAAAAATTTTTTTTCAGAGGTATTTTTATCAAGTAATTTCACTAGTGCCTCATTTTTAAACTGCTACTTGTTTTAGTTTTCTTTGTTCTCTGTAATACAGTCAGGTAGCTGGACTTTTTTTTTTTTTTTTTTTTGAGACAGTCTCACTCTGTCACCCAGCCTGGAGTGCAGTGGTGCAGTCTCAGCTCACTGCAACTTCCATCCCCCGAGTTCAAGCGATTCTCCTGCCTCAGCCTCCCAAGTAACTGGGATTACAGGCGCACGCCACCACAGCCAGCTAATTTTTGTATTTTTAGTAGAGACAGGGTTTTGCCATGTTGGCTGGCTGGTCTCAAACTCCTGACCTCAAGTGATCCACCCATCTCAGCCTCCCAAAGTGCTGGGATTACAGGCGTGAGCCACCGCGCCCAGCAGGATGTTTAAATGGGACTCCCTTCTCAGGGGAAGCCAAGGCCCTAGAGGCTGAGAACCATGCAGTAGCACCTGGTACTGCTACATCCTAAGAAAGGCACCAACTGCAAGGCCCTGCAGAGAGATAGCAGGCTGTGAGCACTAGGCCCCGCCCAGCATGACGCTGTAGACAGGGAGTGCAGGGAGACCAGGGGTGGCACTTGTTCTGGAGATACTGGTGTACCACACAGTGTCTAGGCGGGAAAGAAGCTTCAGGGGGAGAGCTCAGGAGTTCGACCTGTGTTCCTTGGAGCTGGAGTTAATCGCTACCGCAAAATGTAATATACCACCAAACAACAACTAGTGGATTCATACACCACGTAGTAAAAGACAAGCCACGGTAGCAGGAGCATTTGGACTCCCTCAGGTCAGTCTACAGGAGGACTGCTCAGCCTTCACCTCCCACACAACCAGCCTGCCATTGCTCATGTTTCCCACTAACATGAGCCTTTGGGCATCTCACAGGCAAAAGTGCCAGACATGGCATGGCTGCCTGGTGCACCAAGGGCCAGCAGCAGTACAGCATCAGATACTTCTCACACCAGCTCGAAGACCCAAAAGGACTTGCTGTCCCTGACCACTAATGTCAGGCACACTTCTTTTGATCAGTGCATGGCTTCAGAAGAACTACAGCCAGCTCCCTCATGGGTTCTTTGAGGAACCCTCAAAAGTTCTCTTTGAGAGGAAGAACCAAGATTTGATACCCACCATCTAGAGGACCTTGAGAGTAGATCACGGGTGCACCACTTCTGCAGATTCTTGCTCTCCCTGGGCCCAACACCTTCTAACAGAGGGGTCAGAAACAACAAGCACCTGCAACAAGTTGAGAGCAATTTGGAGAAAAGAGGAAAAGCCAGGCATCCCAGCGCCAGCCCTCTGCCACTCCACCACAGATCGTCCAATCTGAAGCTGGCTGGATGCGGGAGGGAGAGGTTTCCAACTGGTGGAGTGTCCAGAGTTTTGACTATTGCACTGTATTAGACTCGGTTATTTAACTAGAGGTTCTAGTACCTTAAACATGACCAGAAACAGGCAACAAAAGTAAAAATATACAAATTGGATTACATCAAAATTTAAGACTTCTGTGTACCAAAGTACACATTCAACAGAGTGAAAAGGCAACCTATGGAATAGAAGAAGATATTTGCCAGTCATATATCTGAAAAGGGGTTAATACCCAGAATACATAAAGAATTCCTACAACTCAACAATAACGACAAGAGCAAAATAACCCAAATTTAAAATGGACAAAAGAATTAAATAGACATTTCTCCAAAGATGATATACAGATGGCCAACAAGCATATGAAAAGATATGCAACATCACCAATCATTAGAAAAATGCAAATCAAAACTGCAATGAGATATCATCATATACCATTTAGGATGGCTACCACCCAAAACACAATACAAAATAAGTGTTCATGAGAACGCGGGACAGTTGGAACCCTTGTACACTGTCATTGGAATGCAAGATGGTGCAGCCCCTGTGGAAAATGGCATGATGGTTCCTCAAAAAATTCAAAGCAGAATTACCATATGATCCAACAATCTCATTTCCGGGTATATATCCAAAATAATTGAAAGCAAGATCTTGAAGAGATGGTTGTATACCCATGTTCATAGCAACACTATTCACAATTGCCAAGAGGTGGAAGCAACCCAGGTATCCATGCATGAATGAACGAATAAACAAAATATGGTATATGCACACCACGGAATATTATTCAGCCTTAAAAATGAAGGAAATTCTGACAAATGCTACAATATGGATAAAACTTGAAGGCATCATGTTAAGTGAAATAAGCCACTCACAAAAAAGATGACTACTATATGATACCACTTATATGAGATATCTGGAGTAGTCAAATTCATAGAGACAGAAAGTAGAACGGTGATTGCTGGGGCTGGAAGGGAGGAGAAACAGGAATTTGTTGCTTAATGTGTTTAGAGTTTCAGTTTTGCAAGATGAAAAAATTCTAGAGATTGGTGGCACAATAATATGAATATATTTAACACTACTGAATTGTACACTTAGAAATTGTTAAGACGGTTAAATTTTACATTATGAATTTCACAGTGTTTTTAAAAAGTAACCAGAAAAGCTGTGGAATCTGCCCAACATTTCATCCAAGAGGCAAAGAAACAAGTCCACAGATTGGGCTTAAAGAGTCAGTGGAAGGAAAAATAAGGTTGTGTCCTGCCTGCCTCCTCTCAAGTCCAGTTTGTTCAATAATCTAGTTATGTAGGAATAAAATGTATTAAGTAAATGCTATGAAGGTGAAATTTTCATACATTGCTACTCTGTTTACTTTCTTCCATTCTTTGTTTCACAATCACTTATCTTCTCATACGTTGCTACCCTTTTTAATTTCTTTTGTTCTTTATTTCACAATCATTTCTCTTTATCCAAACATAACAGGAAAGGAGTGCCACCTGTAGAGCATTGAGTTTCTAAATAGATAATATGACCGGGTTGCCTCCTTGCTTTGGTAAACTTTGGCAGCCAGCAGTATCTTAGTGGGTCCCTGAATTATAACTGAAGCTACTGATAGAAAATATGAAGTAATGATTTCACATCTTTTATACTGATTTCATTTAGGAAGGGTCTTGAGAAATTTAAACACCTCCCCCAAATGACAGGAATGCATAGCATTTTGCACAACACTATATTGAATTAATTTAGTTGAAAGAGTTTTCACCCATAATTTATCTTCATAGAGTTACGTCTGGTTATCTTGTTTTTAAAAATCTCACAGAAAACAAGAATGGGATTTTATAAATATAAAGTGGTGGTAGCTAAAAGATTCTCCCAGAAAAAAAAGATACAATAAAATGTAAGTTCCTTGACAGCTGAACATAAGAGAATTACATTAAATACGTTCATGAGTTCAAATGAGATACAGGAAGGCCATCACCATGCCGGGTCTGGCAGTAGCATCATTTACCATCAAGCCTGGACAACAAGGCGAAACTTCATCTCTACAAAAACTTAGCCAGTTGTGGTAGCACACATCTGTGGCCCCAGCTACTGGGGAGGCTGAGGAGGGAGGATTGCTTGAGCCTGGGAGGTCCAGGCTGCAGTGAGCTCTGATCATGCCACTGCACTCCAGCCTGGGCGACACAGTGAGACCCTGTCTCAAAGAAAAGAAAAAAAGAATTTAGCGTCAGTGTGCTGATATTACATAGAGCAATGTTATGACTCTGGCCTACTGTTATCCTCCTGTAGGACTTGTTTAACTTCAGACGATGAAGTAATAAAACATTAAGAGTTTTATTTCCACGACATCTAGGAATTGAGGCAGCATTATCTGTAGACTGGCTCCGCCTGATGGTTTAACCAAGGCCATTCTAGTGCATTGTGTGTTTTTCACAAAATGTTAATTTTTAATATGAGAGCAATAGTAATAAGCAGTATTGCCTTTAGCTAGCTAGACACATCAGCCCTAAGTACATCTTATGCATAGCTGTATTAACTATTACTATAATACCTCTACACACATAAAATGAATGCCATTTGAAGCTTGTGTCTTTCAAATTGTTATATGGAAAAATGCATGTCACTTTCTTTTTTTTTTTTTTTTTTTTTTTTTGAGATGGAGTTTTGTTCTTGTTGCCCAGGCTGGAGTGCAATGACACAATCTCGGCTCACTGCAACCTCCACCTCCCGGGTTCAAGCGATTCTCCTGCCTCAGCCTCCCAAGTAGCTGGGATTACAGGCATGTGCCACCACGGCCGGCTAATTTTGTATTTTTAGTAGAGACAGGGTTTCACCATGTTGGTCAGGCTGGTCTTGAACTCCCAACCTCAGGTGATCCACCCGCCTTGGCCTCCCAAAGTGCTGGGATTATAGGAATGAGACACTGCGCCCGGCCAATACATGTTACTTTCAAAAGATACTGAAACCATACTCCCTGCACTGTGAAGGCTAATTGAAAATTTCTTGTACCAAATTATTTTTTCATTACTCTTCAATCTGGATTATAGAAATTGTTTTATTCTAGTTTCTGTATTACCATGTCTGGGAAAAGATGAAATCTTCTGGGAGGTCAGGGAAACTATTGTAGTTTTTAAGAAGAATGACATCAAATTTGTATTTTTTGAAGGTAATTCTGGTAGAAGTATAAAATAGAATTTTGTTAAGAATGGAAATAGGGCCAGGCATGGTAGCTCATGCTTGTAATCCCAACATGGGTGGATTGCTTGAGCCCAGGAGTTCGAGACCAGCCTGGGCAACATAGTGAGACCCCTGTCTCTGCAAAAAAATACAAGAATCAGGGCATGGTGGCACTAGCCTGTGGTCCCAGCTACTCGGGAGGCTGAGACAGGAGGATCACTTAAGCCTGGGAGGCAGAGGTTGCAGTGCACCGAGATCAAGCCACTGTACTCCAACCTGGGTGACAAAGCAAGACCCTGTCTCAAAAAAAAAAAAAAAAAAAAAAAAGAGAAAAAAAGAAAAAAGAAATAGGAGGTTAATTAGTACAATATTCCAATTGTTAGGCAAGAGAGAGTAAGCCATTGAGAGAGTGGGAGTTGAAAGCAGGGGACAGTCACATGAGACAAAGCCAATAGGAGATTCTAGATGAAGCAAAGTCTGTAAGAAGTTAAGAGAAGATGAAACCAAATTCAGGTGAAGAAATTAGACTCATTACTTGCCCATCGAGTCTCAGTTTAACATTTCTAAAGTGGAAATTTAACAATATGTTCCCTCTGCCTCATCATAAGGTTTTTGTAAGAAATAAAGCAGATAAGTATCAAATGCAGAAAACAGTGATCCACAAATATTGGTTATTATTTTCTTTTTTCTTTTTTTTAATTATACTTAAGTTCTGGGATACATATGCAGAACGTACAGGTTTGTCACATAGGTATACATGTGCCATTGTGGTTTGCTGCACCCATCAACCCGTCATCTACATTGCTTATTTCTCCTAACGCTACCCCTCTCCTTGCCTCCACTCGCTGACAGGCCCCAGTGTGTGATGTTCACCACCCCATGCCCTCATTGTTCTCATTGTTCAACTCCCACTTATGAGTGAGAACATGTGGTGTTTGGTTTTCTGTTCCTGTGTTAGTTTGCTGAGAATGATGGTTTCCACCTTCATCCATATCCCTGCAAAGGACATGAACTCATTCTTTTTTATGGCTGCATAGTATTCCATGGTGTATATGTGGCATATTTTCTTTATCCAGTCTATCATTGATAGGCATTTGGGTTGTTTCCAAGTCTTTGCTGTTGTGAATAGCGCTGCAATAAACATACGTGTGCATGTATCTTTATATTAGAATAATTTATAATCCTTTGGGTGTATAACCAGTAATGGGATTGCTGAGTCAAATGGTATTTCTAGTTCTAGATCCTTGAAGAATTGCCACACTGTCTTCCACAATGTTTGAACTAATTTACACTCCCACCAACAGTGTAAAAGTGTTCCTATTTCTCCACATCCTCTCCAGCATCTGTTGTTTCCAGACATTTTAATGATCGCCATTCTAACTGGCATGAGATGGTATCTCATTGTGGTTTTGATTTGCATTTCTCTAATGACCAGTGATGATGAGCTTTTTTTTTAATGTTTGTTGGCTGCATAAATGTCTTCTTTTGAAAAGTGTCTGTTCATATCCTTCGCCCACTTTTTGATGGGGTTGTTTTTTTCTTGTAAATTTGTTTAAGTTCCCTGTAGATTCTGGATATTAGCCCTTTGTCAAATGGATAGATTACAAAAATGTTCTCCCATTCTGTAGGTTGCCTGTTCACTCTGATGATAGTTTCTTTTACTGTGCAGAAGCTCTTTAGTTTAATTATATTCCATTTGTCTATTTTGGCTTTTGTTGCCAATGCTTTTGGTGTTTTAGTCATGAAGTCTTTGCCCATGCCTATGTCCTGAATGGTATTGCCTAGGTTTTCTTCTAGGGTTTTTATGGTTTTAGGCCTTACATTTAAATCTTTAGTCCATCTTGAGTTAATTTTTGTATAAGGTGTAAGGAAGAGGTCCAGTTTCAGTTTTCTGCATATGGCTAGCCAGTTTTCCCAACACCATTTATTAAATAGGGAATCCTTTACCCATTGCTTGTTTTTGTCAGGTTTGTCAAAGATCAGATGGTTGTAGATGTGTGGTGTTATTTCTGAGGCCTCTGTTCTGTTCCATTGGTCTATATATCTGTTTTGGTACCAGTACCAAGCTGTTTTTTTACTGTAGCCTTGTAGTATAGTTTGAAGTCAGGTGGCATGATGCCGCCAGCTTTGTTCTTTTTGCTTGGCTATATGGGCTCTTTTTTGGTTCCATATGAAATTTAACGTAGTTTTTTCTAATTCTGTGAAGAAAGTCAATTGTAGCTTGATGGAAATAGCGTTGAATCTATAAATTACTTTGGGCAGTATAGTCATTTTTACGATATTGATTCTTCCTATCCATGAGCATGGAATTTTTTTCCATTTGTTTGTGTCCTCTCTTATTTCCTTGAACAATGGTTTGTAGTTTTCCTTGAAGAGGTCCTTCACATCACTTTAAGTTTTATTCCTAAGTATTTTATTCTCTTTGTAGCAATCGTAAATGGGAGTTCACTCATGATTTGACTCTCTATTATTGGTGTATAGGAATGCTTATGATTTTTGCACATTTATTTTGTATCCTGAGACTTTGCTGAAATTGCTTATCAGCTTAAGGAGTTTTTGGGCTGAGACAATGGGGTTTTCTAAATATACAATTGTGTCATCTGCAAACAGAGATAATTTGACTTCCTCTCTTCCTATTTGAATACCCTTTATTTATTTATCTTGCCTGATTGCCCTGGCCAGAACTTCCAACACTATGTTGAATAGGAGTGGTGAGAGAGGGCATCCTTGTCTTGTGCTGGTTTTCAAAGGGACTGCTTCCAGGTTTTGCCCATTCAGTATGATATTGGCTGCGTGTTTGTCATAAATAGCTCTTATTATTTTGAGATACGTTCCATCAGTACCTGGTTTATTGAGCGTTTTTAGCATGAAAGGGTGTTGAATTTTATCGAAGGCTTTTTCTGCATCTATTGAGATAATTTTCTACTTTAATATATTTTTAAAATTCATGTGGCAAAGCAAAGGTATGTGGTATGTCATGAATAGATGGAGCTGTTCATGTCATTTGTACAAAAATTCACGCTGCATGTTTGTTCCATCCTGGGCACTACTGCTCTAGACCCTGGGCTGACAGCATTGATCACAACAGACCTGAGCCTTGCCCACATGAAGCTCACACTCTAGTACAGAACAATGCAGGAATAGCCCTTGAGGGCCTCCCTGCTTAGGAGTAGAGCCCGTGGGAGACTGAAGAATATCGATGCTTGTCATAGGAACAGGGAAGAGAGAGGAGCAGCCAGTTAGCAGGTTGGGAGTGTGGCGACTGTGATCTGGAATCTGGTCAGCTCCAGCCGTGGAGAATCAGCTTCTGGGGTGTAGATATAAGCTGTCGGGGTGGCAAAGAAGAGTCAGGGCCTGAGAAACTGGATGGGTTTTGGGACATCATCTGAGAACTGAACACTGAAAAATGAATGAGACCTCAGAAATTGAAAGAGTAGAGAAATTCTCAGGTCAATGAGAATGCAGTTGAAGGAGAAGGAAGGAAGAGGAGACATTGGAGGAAACAGATGACATGGTCAAAAAAATTGTAGGAAAACTGAAGAAATAGATGGTAGAATAGAAGGGAGGATTTACTTTTTTAAAAAATCACTGTAGGGGCAGGCACAGTGGCTCACGCCTGTAATCCCAGCACTTTGGGAGGCCAAGGCAGGAAGGAGGATCACTTGAGCCCAGGAGTTCAAGGCCAGCCTAGGCAAGATGGTAAGACCCTGGCTTTGAAAAAAATACAAATAAAAAATGTTTTTCTTTTATTAGCCAGGCATGGTGGCACACCCCTGTAGTCTCAGTTACTTGGGAGGCTGAGGCAGGTGGTTCTCTTGAGCCCAGGAGCTTGAGGCTGTAGTGAGCTATGATACCACCACTGCACTCCAGCCTGAGTGACAGAGCAAGACCTTGTCTCAAAAAAAAAAGTAAAATGAGAAGTGACTGGCCAGGCACAGTGGCTTACGCCTGTAATCCCAGCACTTTGGGAGGCCAAGGCGGGCAGATCACGAGGTCAGGAGTTCAAGACTAGCCTGGCTAACATGGTGAAACCCCATCTCTACTAAAAATACAAAAAAATTAGCCGAGCATGGTGGCGGGTGCCTGTAGTCCCAGTTACTCAGGAGGCTGAGGCAGGAGAATGGTGTGAAGCTGGGAGCTGGAGCTTGCAGTGAGCCAAGATCGTGCCACTGCACTCCAGCCTGGGCGACAGAGCAAGACTCCATCTCAAAAAAAAGAAAGAAGTGACTGCATTCACACGTTTCACACAAGATTTAATTAGTTATAGAGCTACTTCCACATAAGTAAAGAAAATGGAGTAACAGTTTACATGATACGAGAATGTCATAGTCTTCCCAGAATGTTGCAAGAGAACACTGTCTATGTATGTGATTCTTTTGTTTTTTCAGCAGTAGTAGTAGCCAAAAAGTTGTATGCTTGGATTTTTCCTAATCCAAGTCCCTAATACTAAAGAAAATTTATCATTCCAAACTTAAAATTTCAGGTCCCATTTTTCAATTAGTATAGGCAATAAAATATCCCTGAAATGGCTCATCTACTTCTGATTTTATATACACACACACATCTGTACCAGACACTTAAGTGTGCCAAGTGCTAAGTGCTAAGGAAATTTTGCGTGTGTGTGTGTATAATTTCCTCTATTTGGGAAAAAAAATTTAATAGTCAGTGAAAGCTATCTATATAGTACCTTAAAGGAAAACTACACAAAGCACTCATGAATATACAAATTTTTTATTTCTAATACTTTTCATTTCTTGTGAAGTAACTGCTAAAATTATTTCTAACAAAATTACAGATGAGTAAAATATGTATATATGATGTAACATTATAAATTATAATGTAATTTTAGCAAATCCTTATATTACAGCATGGAATCACTTCAGTATCATTCATGGATAAAGTATTAGCCATTACGTTAATAATGTTCATGTAAGTTGTTAAAGCATCATACGTTTCTTTCTATTGGAATATGTCAGTTAACACAGTCCCATTGAACTCCCTCAGCCGGGTCATTCTTCCTTTTCTGAAAGTTGGGACCATGGAAGATCACACTTGTGGTCAGTGTCATAGATGTCTTCAGTGCCCTATGAGATTTTTATATTTTGTGTATCTGTATCCCAGGACATTGATTTTATCCAAGAACAGTCTTCATCCTTTGCATCAGGAACATTTTGACCACAACATTTTGATTTCTGGATGGGAAGAAAGGGTAAATGAAAATGGTTTTATTTTGCGGTTAATTTATCTACTCAAAACATAGATTATTCAGTAAAATCTCTTAACGTTATTTTAACATAACATAAAATCTAATTTTCATTTATTAATCAGAAAATAATACATGAAACATCATCTACTCTTTCCATAATAAACATCAAGAAATAAAATAGCGTTCAATAAGAAAAGACTTAAGACATCGCCTGTCAGACAGATGCCAGTTTGCGAGTGGAATGGCTAAAGAGAAATCTGCTGCACATTTGAAGAGAGAACCTAGAGTGCATATCCCTACCATGAGGAGAAAACACAGCTTAGTCTTTATACTTTGTCATTTATTTATTCAACAGATATTTATTTAGACTTATTATGCACCAGGACCTGTTTTGTGACTAAAAACACAACAATGAACTAACAGGGAAGGTTGCTGCCCGACTTCCGCGTCTCTTGAAAATGAAGCAAGTCCTGCCTCCCTGCATGGGCAAACTTCCTCAGCCCTATAAGATCACTGCAAGATACTCCTAAAAGCACCTTCTAAACAATACTTTGTGCAATGAATGCAAACTGTGATTCAGCTGCACTGGGGCGGAGTCCAGGCATCACGGTTTTAAAGCTGCCCAAGTTAGCGGAAAGTGCAGCCAGAGTTGAAAACTTGAAAACCACCGAGCACTGTTTCTTCTCTGGGTTCTTTCATACACATTCGTTTCTTCTTCTCATTTGACCCACAATATAGTCCCTCATACTAAAGAAAAATGGAAATTGGACCCAGTGAATTAGGTGATGCTACCAGACCCTAGCAATCCCTGCCAATCTCTAAACCCCCAAAGAAGACAGACTAGGGACTAGCTCGTGTGATTCTCAGGGGAACATAGGTGTAGCTAACCCCATCCATGTTCTCTAGCCATCTGCTGCACTAAGTGCTCAGTTAGAAGAATGGATGAGAGTCCATGTAGATTGGAAGGAAAATGCCCAAAAAGTGTCTTCTTATAATTAAAATAAATATAGTCAAATTGTATCTTATTTACTTTGGTGAATGTTTTTACAAAAAGTATAAAATTCTATAAAAAGCACTAGTCTATCCCTTTTTATTCAGAAATTTAGGACATATCTAGGTTTTAAGAATATAGCCATGAGTTTACTTTCAGGCAGTATTGGCCAAAGCAAATATTACAATGTTATTACAATGTTAAAATAGTATTATATGATAAAATTACTGAAGTAGTAAAGCTTCAAGTTTAAATAGGAGTTTTCTGTTTTAATTGATCAGTTTTCTAGTGTGATAAAAAATCAAAATATATAAATATATATAAAATGTATATAAATATGTTTGTATATAATATATAAATGTATAAGTATACATTTATATATATTTAAATATATACATATAAATATATTTATATGTAAATATATATGTTTATATGTATATATGTATTTATATATAAATGTATATTTATATAAATATATACAAACATAAATACATATTTATATATAAATATATACATATATAACATACAAATATATGTATATATGCACATATATAATTTTATATTAATATACTATATTATATTAATATATTAATATTAATTATATTACTATACAATTAATATATTAATATAATTAATATAATATATAATTAAATATGTGCATATAAACATATATTTGTATATTTTGTGTATATATGCACATATATAATATACATATATAATTATATATTTACATATATTATATGTACATATATAACATATATGTACATATATACAATTATATGTATGTATATATGTACATATATATATAATTCCTACAGTGCTTTTTATTTCCAATAACTTGCTTTGGTTGAAAATGTAATTTTAACGAAAGGTAGTTTATGAGTTTCTAAATCAATAATGTACAATAAATGTAATAAACCTGATAGGATGAAAAAGTCTCACAGCATGTATAGTATGGTCTGACCAACCCTGACATTAAACTTATTGACTGGAAACTTCCTGTCATGCTTTTAAAACATTATTTCTGGCCAGGTGTGGTGGCTTATACCTGTAATCCTAGCACTTTGGGAGGCCGAGGTGAGCAAATCACTTGAGCCCAAGAGTTCAATACCAGCCTGGGCAACATAGCATAGACCCCATTTCCACAAAAAATACAAAAATTAGCCAGGCGAGGTGGCACACACTTGTGGTCCCAGCTACTAGGGAGGTTGAGGTGGGAGAATTGCCTGTGCCTGGGAGGTCAAGGTTGCAGTGAGCCGTGATTGCACCACTGCACTGCAGCCTGGGTAACAGAGAAAGACCCTGCCTCAAAAAAAAAAAAAATTATTTTTTAAGTGCCAAGTAATACTCAATACAGAATATGGTACTTTTAAAGATAGAATTTCTATTCTCCGCCTGTTTCCAAATTAAGCAAATTATGAGTACATATTTTAAATTACAGTCTGGGAGAAGAAAGGGGAGAATATAAGTTTTAATAAAAATCATTTGTGCCTCTCTAATCTGTTTGGAATTTGTCAAAAATACTAATAAATTCCTTTACTCATTTACTCCTTCATTAAATAGTTATTGAGCTCCTGAGCTTTAGATACAGGGATGAACATGACAAGGATGAACAAGCCCTGTCTTTCCACAGTTTAGACTTCTGGAACTTAACTTCGCTTTATTTTCCTGCAGAACAAAATATGCCTAGGGTATGCACAAACACCATCATCAGAAGCACAGATGGGGATTTAGCCAATATCCAGCATTGAAAACCGAACTAACAATTACAGAGTTTTCATTTGGTAGCAATCTTAAAGTATGTCCATCTGAAGGCAAAAAAAAAAGTCTTTTTGTAAAATCCAAATCACATTATTTAAATATCTCAAACTAGCATTTACAGATAACTGCACTTAGGAAGGATGATTAGTTCTTCGAGGCATAGTACTCTTTAGTATGTAAGCTGTCTAGGAGCATGTTCTTTAAGATGTTAGAATATTGTGGATGTTGAAAGCATTACCCACAAACCTGATTCTCCCCAGAGCCTAGCATGAGGAGGCATTGTATTTCACTAGTGTTCTTTTGTCAGCTTCAGTGAGTTTACTGATTGAAGAATCAATGTTAAGAGACAGCGTAAACCACCTGCTAAAATATTCTGATACTTAAGACTGCACCAAACACTCCCTCGGAATAGCGGACTTAAGTCAACACATTAACTCTTTCAGACCAAGAAGGCACTGATCAGGTCAATTCAGCAGCATCTAGAAGCAGAGCCATTAGGCTGACCCTGGAAGCAACTCAACCCTGAACCCCTGTCAGAGCCTCTGAGATTCTGGGAAAGAGGCCGCAGACGGCTCAGTCCACTGAATTCAATTTCATCTGCAGATCAAGGCTAACAAAAGAACAAGTATACATTACCTGCTTCATCACAGAGAACACAGACATAGGACTTAGGATGTTAGCCAAAGGGCCTCAGGACATTGAAACAGAGGGAGCATGGATAACAGAGCATGCTGCTGCTACAATTTAAATCTTCTACGACCAAAATTTCTGAAATTACATAACAATGCTTTGATATATACTTGAGTTTCTGCAGATTTGAAAACAAAAGAGGCCAGGCATGGTGGCTCACACCTGTAATCCCAGCACTTTGGGAGGCTGAGGTGGGCAGATCACCTGAGGTGAGGAGTTTGAAACCAGCCTGGTGAACATGGTGAAATCCCATCTCTACTAAAAATACAAAATTAGCTGGGTGTGTTGGCGCGTGCCTGTAATCCCAGCTACTCAGGAGGCTGAGGCAGGAGAATCACTTGAACTCAGGAGGCAGAGGTTGCTGTGAGCCAAGATTGTGCCACTGCACTGCAGCCTGGGCAACAGAGCAAGATTCTGTCTCAAATAAATAAACAAAATAATTCATTTTACTGATTGACCAACAAGACAGTCTAATCCAGAACTTCATTTTATAATGATTTTATAAATGTACTATTAAAAAATTACAATATACAAATTACATACATGTACAAATATGCATGCATATTGTAATTTTTACAATATACGTAAGTTTGAGTTCTGGCCAGGCACAGTAGCTCATGCCTGTAATCCCAGCTCTTTGGGAGGCCAAAGCAGGAGGATCACTTGAGGCCAGGGATTCGAGACCAACCTGAGCAACATAGAGAGATTCTGTCTCTACTTGAAAGAAAGAGAGAGGGAAGAAAGAAAGGGAAGGGAAGGGGAGGGGAGAGGAGGGGAGGGGAGGGGAAGGGAGGGGAGGGGAGGGGAGGGGAAAGGAGGGGAGGGGAGGGGAGGGGAAGGGAGGGGAGGGGAAGGGAGGGGAGGGGAGGGGAAGGGAGGGGAGGGGAGGAAACAGAAGGGAAGGGAAGGGAAGGGGGAGGGGAGAGAAAAAAGGAGAAAGCAACAACAAAGGACATTATTGGGAAATTTGAATATAGACTATATTTTAGATATGAATATCATGAGTGTTAAATTTTCTGAGTTTGATAATTCTGCTATATTTATGTAAGATAATGTCTTTGTTCTTAAGACACATACACTGAAGTACTTAAAGGTAAGTCATCATGTCAGTAACATATTCTCAAATCTAATAATGTCGAAGAAATAAAAATACTAACAAGAATATGGAAAGAGAGAGGGGAAAAGAGAACTGGTAAAATCTTAATAGCAAAATTAGATGAAGGGTTTATGGGTATTCTCTGTGTTATTCTTGCAACTTTCCTGTAGACTTCAAATTTTTCAGCATAAAAGTTTAAAAGTATATAAGCTAAGTCAGTGCAAATGAAATAACAGTTTTAAATAACCCAAGGATCTAAGAATAAATATCAAGAGAACTGAGAAAATATCTTGAACTGAATGAAAATGAAAACACAACTTATTAAAATGTGTCTACTAAAGTTTATAGGAACATTTATAGCTTTAAACACTTGTAATAAAAAAGAAAGGTGTAAGATAAATTATCTAGGGCCCTCCCTAAGAAACTAGAAAAACAGGAGCAAATTAAACTTAAAGTTAAGAAAAGGAAGTAATAAAGATCAAAGCAGAAATTAACAAAGATGAAAGTATAATAACAACAGAAGACAGGATAATAATCAATAAAACCAAAAGTTATTTCAGCGGAAAAATAAAATTGAAAATTCTTTAGCTAGACTGATCAAGAAAAAAGAAGATACAATATCGGGGGAAAAAAGAGGAGGCATTTCTACAGATCCTACAGACACTAAAAGGATAATCAAAGTACTACTAATGAACAACTTAAAAGTATAATAGAATATTATAAACAATTTATGTCAACAAGTTTAACAAATTAGAAAGAACAAATTCCTGGAAAGATACAACTTATAATGCAAGAAGAAAATTTTAAAATCTGTATAAACTTATAGCAGTGAAAGCATTTGGCATTCAAAGAATAGCAAGGCCAGTGTGACTGGAACAGAGTGAACGAGCAGAAAAGTAGTAAAAGAAGAGATCGATATGGAATACAACACAGCCATAAAAAAGAACAAGATCATGTCCTTTGCAGCAACATAGATGCCATTGGAGGTCATTACCCTAAGCAAATTAATGCAGGAACAGAAAACCCAATACCACATGTTCTCATTTATAAGTGGGAGCTAAACATTGAGTAAACATGGATACAAAGAAGGGAATAATAGACACCAGGGCCTACTTGAGGGTAGAAGGTGGGAGGAGGATGAGAATCAAAACACTGCCTCTCAGGTAGTATGCTTATTACCTGGGTGACAAAATAATCTGTACACCAAACCCCTGTGATATGCAATTTACCCATATAACAAACCTGCACATGTACCCCTTGAACCAAAAATAAAAGTTGGAAAGGAAACAAATATTTTTTTTTAAATAAAGAAGAGCTCAAAGAGGTAATAGAACCTAATCATGTTGAGCATTGAGGATCATTTCAAGGACTCCATTGGCTTTCCTCTGGGTGCAATGCAGAGTTATTCCAAGATTTTTAGCAGAGGAATGACCCAATTTTTTTTAATGGGATGTCAGTATTACTAACTCCTTAATAAATAAATATTGTCAGCCAGGCACGGTGGCTCACGCCTGTAATCCCAGCACTTTGGGAGGCTGAGGCGGGCAGATCACGAGGTCAGGAGATCGAGACCATCCTGGCTAACACAGTGAAACCCTGTCTCAACTAAAAATACAAAAAAAAAAATTAGCCGGGCATGGTGGCAGGCGCCGGTAGTCCCAGCTACTCGGGAGGCTGAGGCAGGAGAATGGCATGATCCCGGAGGCAGAGCTTGCAGTGAGCCGAGATTGCACCACTGCACTCCAGCCTGGGGCACAAAGCCAGACTCTGTCTCAAAAAAAATAAATAAATAAAATAAAATAAAATAAATAATACTGTCCACAGGACAAAATTCCTACCAAATATCAAAGCAGAAAATCAAAACTGGTTATAGAAGCTGAGAGTTTGGGTCAACATGCTCTTCTTCCTGCCCTACTTGGGGGATTTTGAGCAGGAAGCAAAGATGGAGATCTGATTGCTCTCCTCTGAGTTAGTTATCAGTTGATACACATCCTGGAGGATGTGTATGTAAATATCCTTGGGTTATTTACAGGAAGGCAGCAGCCCTGCCATGGAAATTGCCACTGAGGCTGGTCCTGGGACCAACCTTGCTCAGCCCTGTCCTCCGCCCATCTGGTCCCTCCAGTCTGCACATAGCCTTCCAGTGTCCTAACCTCATCTCTGTCCAGGGAAACTCATCTTTATGTGGGGATCCTGAACAATTCTGTAGACTTTCTTTTTTTCTTGAGACAGGGTCTCATTCTGTCGCCCAGGCTGAAATGCAGTGGTGTGATCTCAACTCACTGCAACCTCCACCTCCTGAGTTCAAGTAATTCTCCTGCCTCAGCCTCCTGAGTAGCTGGGATTACAGGCATGCACCACCACGCCTGGCAATTTTTTGCATTTTTTAGTAGAGATGGGATTTCTCCATATTGGCCAGGCTGATCTCGAACTCCTGACCTCAGGTGATCTGCCGGCCTCGGCCTCCCAAAGTGCTGGGATTACAAGCATGAGCCACCACACCCAGCCAATTCTGTAACTTTTAATCATCTTAATTCAAATCATAGAAATCCAAGATTTCTAAATCCATTATTTCAGAAGGAGACATTTGTTACATTTGCCCAAATATAAGGTGATATTTTTCTGTCCAAATATGAAACCCAAGACAAAAATGCATATTTGTGACACAAAATCTTATATTTGTGACCTTATAAAACCCCTCATACAATAAAGATCAAATATGTGTCTTTTCAATTTGAATCAAAAGACAAAAACACTCTTGGGGATGTTCCCTTTAGGAAAATGCAGTTCTCCTTGTATATGAGACCCATGCTATCCACCTCATCCAGTTATCTTTCTTGGTTTATCAGTACCATGGGAAGCTTTGCCTTTAAAAATATGTGTTATTGGCCGGGCGCGGTGGCTCACGCCTATAATCCCAGCACTTTGGGAGGCTGAGGCGAGTGGATCACCTGAGGTCAGGAGTTCGAGACCAGCCTGATCAACATGGAGAAACCCCGTCTCTGCTAAAAATACAAAATTAGCCAGGCGTGGTGGCCATGTCTGCAATCCCAGCTACTCGGGAGTTTGAGACAGGAGAATCGCTTGAACCCGGGAGGCGGAGGTTGCCGTGAGCGGACATCGCCCGAGATAGTGCCATTGCACTCCAGCCTGGGCAATAAGAGCGAAACTCCATCTAAAAAAAAAAAAAAAAAAAAAAAAAAAAAAAAAATATATATATATATATATATATATATATATATATATATATATATGATTATTAGAATGATTATTCTCCCTAGCAAGAGTTAATCTTGAATTTCCTATTTGTGATTTTCCCAGTGTGTGCTTTCTAACAGGAAGCTAGTCTCATTTATTTTCTCATAATGACAACTTCATGATAAAGGCCTTGCCCAACAGAATTCAGATGTTACTTGATGTTACAAGTGTTACTTCAGGTGACACCTGATTGCCTTTGTCACCATTAGCATTTGGAGCACTAGTCAGGGAGACACTGATTTTACTCATTACCGCTTACATTTAAGACACAAAAAGAGCTAGCGCTATTTGATGAATTGTCAAAGGCAGGGAACTCGGGGAAATGATGGCGGAGGCCTTAGTCCCACGCCGGAGCGTTTGAGGTCTCACTGCCAGGAAAGAGAAGGAACTGTTCGAGCAGGAGGGCGATGGGAACGGTGTAGCGATCTGTGACCCAACTGAAAGAGGAAGGCAGTGGGCAGCAGTGGGCAGAAAGCGCGCCGGTGGCGCTGCAGCAGCCCGGAGTCGCCCGGAGGCTGACCCAGGTGGGAGTGCTGGGGCTGCATTTAATGAGGGTGTGCCCGCCCCTGCGCGGACGTTCCCCGCCCGTGTTCACTGCGTACTGGGTGCGAGGTCAGCAACACATTTTATGAGGGACCGACGGCCTGCTAGCTGCTGGGGGCAGGTAGGGAACAGTAAGGAGAGCAGTCAGCGGACCTCCTGAAAAGGGGCGGGAGCCATGCAGACAGCCCGCAAGAGTTTCCCAGGCAGAGGGGACTGTCGAGCCCCGGAGGTAGGGACAGATGCATCCAAGGGAACACAGATTGCCACACCGCCAGAGAACAGGAGAAAGGGCCTCGGGACAGCAAGCCACAGGACAGAGGGCTCGGGACAGTGGGCCATGGGAAGGACGTAGGGCAGAGGAGCACAGAGCTTGTCCCAGACACTGAGCCAGGCAAGGGGGACACAGAGAGGAAGTTCAACTCCTGGTGGACACCAGGAAGCCCAGGAGAAAAGCAGGACGTGCTCGGTGGTGGAGGGCGGGCGGGGCACCAAGGAATGGCCGCAGTGCCGGGGCCGCAGGTCTAGGAGGGAGCCCTGGACTACGACAGAGGATGAGGGAGCCTTCCAGAGAAGGCGGCAGGAGAAGGCCGAGGAGCGAAAGGGAGTGGGTTGGGTTCCCGGGAGCTGAGGCCCAGAGTGGGAGCCACAGCCGGGGGCCCCCAAGGGTGGAGCCCAGGGAAGGGAGATGCGAGGAGACTCCAGGGCGCTTTGACAGCGAGTGGGGCGTGTCCCCAAGGCAGCGGAGGAAGCTGCAGTGTCGTCCAGGAGTCGGAGTTTAGGAGGCGTGGCGCAGTCCTGGATTTGGTATAGTCACACTCATCAGAGCAGATCACAGCACAGGAGGAAATGAAAGACAGTGCCAAGTACCTACCGTGTCTTTGAGTTTGAAGGCTGACTGTGATTTCGCCCTCTAAGGGGTTCCTCTGCTTTCAGATTTTCTACAATGATTATGTACTTAGAGTGGAAAAAGAATGCTTTAAAATAATCAAACTCTGATTATGCACAAGCACTCAAATAGGAGCTGGAATCAGAGAAGAGAGAGACAGAAACGAAGCCAGTCTCAGAACAGAAAATTGACTACTTGTGCGGAATCCTGTCCACGGAGAACGTTGAACTTGGTTTCCAGTGCGGACTAAATGTGAGGGGCACTAGTTTCTGCGCCTGCTGCTCTCCCTACCTTCCTCCCTCCTTTTCACCTGCCGACTCCCGCTGGCCACAGTCTCAGCTGGGACTTCACTGCCCCGGAAGCCTGCAGGAGCTGCTCCCCGCCACGTGGCTCTGATCCTCTACTACTGTGCTGACCTGGGCCCCCACCTGCCCTCCCAGCTTCCTCTGGGCCACCTCCCAACAGGTGCCCTGTCTGTGATGGGCTCATCCGCAGGGGCCTCTGCTCAGAGAGTCCTTCCACCTCTCCTCAGGTCTAACTCAAAAGGCCCCAGCAAGAACCAATACCTCCTCTGTCTGACTTGCCTGTCTGCGCCACTAGAGCATAGTAGGGACATTTTATCCACTTTGATATCCTCAATAACCACCATACAGCAGATGCGCACTGTGGCTGAGGCAAGGGAGGGATACGGGGGGAAACTGAGTCTGGATCAGGTGGAACATCCAGATAGAAACGCAAAGCCGGGGGTCAAAGGCGAGGGCTTCAAACTTGGAAGGAAGGCAATGGCTAGAAATTAAGTGTTTGTTTGTTTGCTTGTTTGTTTTGTTTGTTTTTGAGACAGGATCTGGCTCTGTCACCCAGGATGGAGTGCAGCAGCATGATCACAGCTCACTGCAGCTTCAACCTCCCCAGGCTCTGGTGATTCTCCTACCTCAGCCTCCCTAGCTGGGACTACAGGCCTACACCACCATGGCTGGTTACATTTTGTATTTTTTGTAGAGACGGGGTTTCACCATGTTTCCCAGGCTGGTCTTGAACTCCTGGGCTCAAGCAATCTGCTCGCCTTGGCCTCCCAAAGTGCTGCAATTACAGGCATGAGCCACCGTGCCCAGCCAGAAATAAAAATTTGAATGTGAGTTAAATGAAGGGAAAGCAGAAACTATGAGTGTGACTAGTGTCCAGGGAGAGAATGAAGAGGATAAACCCATAACTTCCCCGCCCCAGTCAACAAGCATGTTGCAGCCATGAAATCCTGTGCCCCCAGGGCTGACAGGTCTGCAAGAGGACAAGTGACCCAAGGTAAACAAGTCACATTCCCTCACAGAGGAAGCTGGGATTTTGAAGACGGAAAGGAAGAAACAGACTGGCAATTGTTGACAAGTCACATTAACAGCAGCACACTAAAGACCCACAATTGTCCAGGTTTCTAGTGCCTTCCTAGGTCCTGCCCTTTTCAAAGTGCAGTTGTTCAAATGCCTTGAAATGCTTGGGCCAACTTCCAGTAAATTCCCTTTTCATTCAAAATAATTACAGAGTTGGTTTCTGATACCTGAAACCCAGACAACCTTAGCAATTACAACCAGATTACTCTGAAGCTAAAAAACATGAAATGCAATGAATGCAGAAATCTACGGGGAGAGAGTGACATCATGGTTGGTTGTAATAAGAGCTTCAATAGTCATTTAATGATCGTCTCTCTACCTCCTGCTATTATCTTCCCAGACAGAAATGGTTTAGTGATTCCCTTTGGAGAGCTGAAAGAATACTATAGCTATAGCTCAAATGTGATTTCCCATTCTGGTCAAATTTGGTTGACCAGAATGAAATCGGATTTTTTTTTTTTTTTTTTTTTTTTTTTGAGATGGAGTCTCGCTCTGTCGCTAAGGCTGGAGTGCAGTGGTGCAATCTCGGCTCACTGCAACCTCCGTCTCCCAGTTCAAGCAATTTTCCTGCCTCAGCCTCCTGAGTAGCTGGGATTACAGGCATGTGCCACCACACCTGGCTAATTTTTTTTTATTTTTAGTAGAGACAGGGTTTCGCCATATTGGCCAGGCTGGTCTCAAACTCCGGACCTCAGGTGATCCGCCTGCTTCAGCCTCCCACAGTGCTGGGATTACAAGAGTGAGCCACTGTACCTGACCTGTTTTTTTGGGTTTTTTTTGTTTGTTTGTTTGTTTTTCAGACGATCTCACTCTGTTGCCCAGGCTGGAGGGCAGTAGTGCAATCTCGGCTCATTGCAACCTCTGCCTCCCTGGTTCAAGTGATTCTCCTGCCTCAGCCTCCCAAGTAGCTGGGATTACAGGCATGCACCACCACACCTGGCTAATTTTTTTTGTATTTTTAGTGGAGATGGGGTTTCCCCATGTTAGCCAGGCTGGTCTCGAACTCCTGGCCTCAAGTGATCCGCTTGCTGCAGCCTCCGAAAGTGCTGGGATCACAGGCATGAACCACCACACCTGGCCTGATTATATTTTTAAAGGAATTGCTTCTTAAGAATGATAGTCTGGCCGGGCACGGTGGCTCATGCCTGTAATCCCAGCACTTTGGGAGGCCAAGGTGGACGGATCACCTGAGGTCAAGAGTTATAGACCAGCCTGGCCAACATGGCAAAACCCTGCCTTTATTAAAAATACAAAAAATTAGCCAGGCATGGTGGCGGGTGCCTGTAGTCCCAGCTACTCCGGAGGCTGAGGCAGGAGAATGGCGTGAACCTGGGAGGTGGAGCTTGCAGTGAGCCACTGCACTCCAGCCTGGGCAACAGAGTGAGACTCTGTCTCAAAAAAAAAAAAAAAAAAAAAAAAAATGGATGATAGTCTGACTTCTACGGATTCACATAAATAACAACAGGGGGATACAGCCCTTCTTATGTTGGGCAGCTGGTCACAAAATCATAGTGCTGTGGGCCTGTCTATTTTTGACAAAAGAAAGAGTTTCTATACATCGTTAAAATGCTTATGTATATTTACTGGATAAGAGGCATGAATTAGAACATTCTACCGAAAACGGATTGATTTTAGCATACTGGGTTTTCACAAATTATGACTGCATAATTATCGCTTTGTGGATCTCCACCAACTAAGTAAAGTTTGTGCCAGGTCAATCCTTTTGTCTACTAATCAATATCAATTTGTGAAACATTAAAAAACAAAGCAAATACTATTTAACAGAATATTTTTAAATTTATCACACTGAAAAAACACAACCTTTCTTATTTTCCAAGACAATCACCAGTCGGCCACTCCTCAGTAAAGGGAATTCCGGCAGTTTCCTGACTTGCCCAGAGTGAGAGTTATCTGGTTGCTTTTTAACCACCCAGCTCCCCCAGTGACTCTGATCAGTGGGCTTGGGATGGAGGCCAGGGACTTGTATCTTAACAGGTACCTGGGTGGTTGTCATCATCAAAAAAGCTGGGTTCCCCTATGGCTGTGACTGTGGCGTTCCTTCCCTGTTGTCCTGATGCTGCTGGCGTTGACAATGTGATTCTGCCACTGTTGAATTTGTGTTCTATAATATAAATTTGACTATCAGCCGGGCACAGTGGCTCACGCTTGTAATTCCAACACTTTGGAAGGCCAAGGCGGGAGGATCACTTGAGCCCAGGAGTTCGAGACCAGCTTGGACAACGTAATGAGACCTTGTCTCTACAAAAACTTTTAAAAATTAGCCAGGCACGGTGGCGTGCACCTGTGGTCCCAGCTATATGGGAGGCTGAGGTGGGAGGATCACCTGAGCCTGGGAGGTCTAGGCTACACAGGTCTAGCTGTGATCATGCCACTGCACTCCAGCCTGGGCGACAGAGCAAGACCCTGTCTGAAAAAAATAAAGTAAAATAAAATTGACTATTATATACTGAGGTATAGTTCTCTTGTTCTCTTGTTTAGGGTTCTCCAAGCTTCCTGTATCTGTAGACTGATGTTTATCATTAAATTTGAGGGATCAAGGCTATTATTTCTTTCAACAATTTTTCTGCCATTCTCTTTCTTTTCATTTACTGGGATTCTAATTACATATGATTTAGACAACTTGAAATTGCCCTATAAGTCACTACACCTCTGCTCGTTTTTTCTTCTCATTCTTCAAATCTGATCATTTCTATTGCTTTATTTCAGATTCATCAGCCCTTTCTTCTGCAGTCTGTTGCTAAGCAGTGAAACTTTTATTTTACAGATTGTAATTTTTCGTTTTAGCATTTCCATTGGTCCTTTTTTATCAACCCATTTCTCTGCTGAGACTCCTCATTGATCTTATTAGGACGATGCTTTTCTTTAAGTCTTTGGATATTTTTAGATTAGTTGTTCAGAGTCTTTCTCTGCTGAGTTCAACATTTAGACCAATTGGATCTAGATGTTACTGATAGCTTTTTCTTCTTGATCATGGGTCACATTTTTCTGCTTCTTTGCACGTCTACTAATTTGTTATCGTGTGGTGGACATTGTGAATGATACGACGTAGGGAGTTTGGATTATGTCATCTTCCTGTATAAGATGTTGAGTTTTGTTCTGGCAGGCATTTAAATTACTGTTATATCCTTTTGATCAGGCTAGGCTAGTATTATTCTTTGTTTGGGAGGAAACTATTTTGGTTTAAAGCTTAGTCCTAAAGTATTGTTCTTGCTTTATGGCATAGTCCTTACTCCCAAGGCATAGCCCTTACTCCCAAGGCATAGCCTTTCTAGGTCTCACCCGAATGCCCAAAATGTTCACATTAGGCCAGAGCGCTAACATCTCCAAGCAACGTGCAAGTTCTAGTATTACTGTGCCGCTCTCAGCCCCAGCACAGGCCTCGTGGAGGCCTGCCTTGGACAATCACAGCCTAGTCCTAAGTTAAGGATTCACATAAAGACTTCCCACACAGACTTCATTGTCCTGAACAACTCTCTTCTTCTCTAGTACCCTGTTCTGCAGACTTCAGCTACTTCAGCAGCCCCAAGCCCCAATTTCTGCCTCTTCATCTCAGTAAAGTCACTGCTCAGCTTGGATCTCACTTCCCTGTGCCAAAGCAGGCAGAAAGCCAGGTGATCCTGGGGCTCATCTTGTGTTTCCCATATCTCATGATCCCAGTCCAGCATTGCCTGTTACTCAATGCCCCAAAACAGTCGATGCATATATTCTGTCTACTTTTATCGTTTTTAGCAGAGGGCAAGTCGGGTACCAGTTTCTCTATCATGTCCAGAAGTGAAAGTGAAGCAAATGCAATGATGATTATGGTTGTAAAAGTGGTTCTCAACCATGGCTGCATATCGGAATACCTTGAGGACTTTTTGTGTGTGTGTTTAAATACTAGTGCCCCAGGTGGCCTGAAGGTCCAGCCGAAGTCAAGAAGCAGTCTAAATCATCACAGTATTTCCACTCTGGCTTCTCACTTTTGTCAATGTTAGGCTTTTATTCGTTGCAAAATAATTCCCTAAATCACTCTGGCCTCCCTAATGAGCCTATACAGAGGGTTTTTTATGGATATTGTTATGGCTCAAGGATAGCTAGGGTGCTGTCTTCTGTAATAAAACTTGCTTGGTCAGCTGCTTCTGGGACCTGTGCTTCCCAGTCCACATTGACTTGATTAATAATTTACAGTCATCTGAGTGTTATGCTATTTTTGGAGGTCATTACATTAAACCATATCATAACCACGTATTCTAACACAACATCCAAATGTGATTACTGATTGCTTTAGACATGCTATAGACCTGAGACTGTTCCAATAAAACCAAGACAGCACACTGAATTTGTATACACAAACTCCGTAACTATCTTTAGAACAAGACTGGGTTCAAGCAGTAAGCCCAGCCAGTTCCCACAGATCACAGTCACTAGTTGTGCGGGGAGGGTAGCATCCCAGGGGTGCTAGTACCTAGAGAATTACAGCATCTTCAGAAACATCACTAGAATAGAGGTCACCACATTTTTCATCTTGCATCCTTAGTAGTACATTAGTGGGTTTTCTAAAATAATGCTTGCTTTACTTTATTTATGAATGGTACCAAAAAACATTTTATTTCATTAAGAATAGTAATATTATGACTAGGCGCAGTGGCTCACGCCTGTAATCCCAGCACTTTGGGAGGCCAAGGTGGGCGGATCGCGAAGTCAGGAGTTCAAGACCAGCCTGGCCAAGATGGTGAAACCCTGTCTCTACTAAAAATACAAAACATTAGCCGGGCATGGTGGCACACACATGTAATCCCAGGTACTCTGGAGGCTGAGGCAGATAATTGCTTAAACCTGGGGGTGGAGGTTGCAGTGAGCCGAGAACGCGCCATTGCACTCCAGCCTGTGTGACAGAGCGAGACTCCGTCCTAAAAAAAAAAAAAGGAATAGTAATATTGTGTGTACATATAAAATATAATCTGTATTATGCATATATAGATTGTATTAATATTTTAGAGCAAGCAATGTGATTTTAAATTTTGCATAATTTTTTAAAATATTGTTTTAATACTTTATGATGGGGCAATTTGAAGGTCTGGTTTTAAGTTCATGTTATTTCATTACTTGGTTTTCATGAGTACCTTAGCTAAAAAAGGCATCTCACAAAGATAAGTACAGACAAATGGAAAAAAGATATTGTGTTTATTAAATTAAAATATTTATTAATCTCATTCATCAATTACACAGAAGTTGTTTCTTGAAATTCACTAGCAAATTTAATCCTCTCTGATCCAACCAGTTGTTCTTGCAAAATAAATAATCAGAGGGTGTTCCATTTTGGTAATTTTAATAAATGCTTTGAAAGCCTGATAATTTAATGTGAAACATTTTAAGCAAGTTAGAAGATTCTGGTTCCAACTTTTTAAATAATTTTTATGGGTACATAGTAGGTATACATATGTATGGGATGCCAACTTTTGAAGTGGGAAAGAATGGATTTTTTAAAAGCGACACACATCATTTTCAGTAACAAAGTCACGTAATAATAGAAATAGTTCCAAACATCTGTTTTTAAAATATTTTTGAAAGTTCCTTTTGAAAAGTAGTTACTAGCATACTCAATTTTAGAATATCTCCTCTAACCATGAGGAATCAGGTTATACATCTGTTTTTATTTTTGTTTTCAAAAATATCTGCAGCCGGACACAATGGCTCACGCCTATAATCCCAGCACTTTGGGAGTCCAAGGCAGGTGGATCACCTGAGGTCAAGAGTTCGAGACTAGCCCGGCCAAAATGATGAAACCCTGTCTCTACTAAAAATACAAAAATTTGCTGGGCATGGTGGCACGTACCTGTAATCCCAGCTACTCAGGAGGCTGAGGCAGGAGAATTGCTCGAACGCGGGAGGCAGAGGTTGTAGTGAGCTGAGATCGTACCATTGCACTCCAGCCTGGGTGACAAGAGTCAAACTCCATCTCAAAAAAAAAAAAAATCTGCCAGGAGTTGTGGAGTTGTGTCTCTGAGAACAACTTACCATGTCAGAAAATGTCAGCAAATTTGGAACACTGTCTTTTTACATAACAAAAGTCTACAGAATCGTCTTTAAGTTGAGCAGCTGTTTTGAAAGATTTATCAATGAGAACTGGTGAGCATCTGCGTGGTCCAAAAGATTTTCATAGTCTTTTCCCATCTTCTCATTAAGAATTATTGTAGATTGCCCTCCTTTCAACATTCTTTTTGTTTGTTTCTTTGTTTGCTTGTTTTCTGAGACAGAGTCGTGCTCTGTCACCCAAGCTGGAGTGCAGAGGCACTGCAGCCCCAACTTCCTGGCTGGGGAAGCCTCAAGCCATCCTCCTGCCTCTGCCTCCTGAGCAACTGAGGCTACAGGCATGTGCTGCCATGTCCAGCTAATTTATTCAGTTATTTATTTATTTATTTATTTATTTATGTATTTATTGGTAGAGACGAGGTCTCATTACCTTGCCCATGCTGGTCTCGAACTCCTGGCCTCAAATGATTCTCCAACCCCAACTTCCCAAAATGCTAGGATTACAGGTACGAGCCATTGGGCCCAGCTTAGATATTCTTTTTGTTTGTTCATCTTTGTCGAGGTATAATTGGTACACAATAAACAGCAAAGGTGCTGTGACTCATGCCTATAATCCCAACCACTGGGGAGGCCAAGGCAGGTGGATCACTTGAGCCCAGGAGTTTAAGACCGGCCTGGACAACATAGTGGAACCCCATTTCTATAAAAAAAAATTTGTTTAATTAGCCAAGCATGGTTGTGGGCACTTGTGGTCCCAGCTACTTGGGAGACTAAGACAGGAAGATGGCTTGAGCCCAGGAGGTCAAGGCTTCGCTGAGCCATGTTTAAGCCACTGCACTCCAGCTGGAACAGAGCGAGACCCTGTCTCAAAAATAAATAAATAAATAAATAAATAAAATAAACACCACATATTTAAGGTATACAATTTGATGAGTTTGGACATATGCTCCCATGTCTCCAACACCACAATCAAGATAATAAACGTATCCATCACCCTCAAGAGTTTTCTGGTCAGGCACTGTGGCTTACGCCTGTAATCCCAGCACTTTGGGAGGCCGAGGCGGGCAGATCACTTGAGATCAGGAGTTTAAGACCAGCCTGGCCAACATGGGGAAACCCCATCTTTACTAAAAATACAAAAAAATTAGCCGGGTTTGGTGGTGCGCGCCTGTAATCCCAGCTACTCAGGAGGCTGAGGCAGGAGAATCACTTGAACCCTGGAGATGGAGGTTGCAGTGAGCCGAGATCACGCCACTGCACTCCAGCCTGGGTGACAGAGCGAGATTCCCTCTCAAAAAAAAGAAAAAATAATAAAAGTTTTCTCACGCCTGTTTGTGATCCACACCCACCCTGCCAACCATAGGCAGCCACTGATTTGTCATTGTAGGTGTGTTTGCATTGCCTCCAATTTTATAGATGTTGAACCATACATACTCTTTTTTTTTCTGGCTTCTTTCACTCAGTATAATTATTTTGAGATTCATCCATTCCTTCTATTGCTGAGTACTGTTTCATTATGTGGCTATACCTCAGTTTGTTTCTTCACCAGCTGACGGACCATGCTGTTATGGTCTGAAAGTTGGTGTCTCCCAAAATTCATAGGTGGAACCTAAAACCCAATGTAGTAGTATGAAGAGATGAGGCCCCTGGGGAGTGATTAAGTCAGGAGGGCTCCACTCTTGTGAATGAGATTAGAGTCCTTATAAAAGACACTTGGGCAAAATGATGACACAGCAACAGCACACCGCTCATGGAGCAGAGCACCCTCCCCACACACCAAGTCCACTGGCACCTTGATCTTGGACTTCCAGCCTCAGAACTGTGAGCAACCAATTTCTGTTGTTTATAAATGACCCAGTCTAAGGTATTTTGTTATGGCAGCCAAACAGACTAAGACACATGGTCTCATGGTCCAGCCCTTACTTGAGATATGAGCTTCTTATTCTTGTTAAATGAGTCAATCAAGATGGGAATGATAATTCATTTACTCTTAGAAGTGGGAGAAATGACCACACCTCAGATGGGAGGTACAGGACCTGCCAATACTCAGGGCTAGTATCAAGTGTCGCATAGTATTCCTGGGCTCCTGCATGAAGGAGAATATTCTCTGGGAAGAGATCTTTGTCTTTGTCATTGATTCCCACATCTCAGGTGTGAATTTCTCTGATCCTTTGTGCCACTGAGCTATTATTTCTTCTAAAACACCATACATCCTGGAGAGAAAAGAAAGTCATCAGATAGATGGATAGATAGATAAATAGATACATACATGCATACATAACATACGCAGTTACAAATGTTTTTTTGTTTTTGTTTTTGTTTTTTGAGACAGACTCTTCCTCTGCTGCCCAGGCTGGAGTGCAGTGGCGCAATCTCAGCTCACTGCAACCTCCGCTGCCTGTGTTCAAGCAATTGTCCTGCCTCAGCCTCCCTAGTAGCTGGGATTACAGGCACACACCCCCATACCTGGCTAATTTTTGTATTTTTGGTAGAGACGGGGTTTTGCCATGTTGGCCAGGCTGGTCTCGAGCTCCTGACCTCAATGATCTGCCTGCTTCAGCCTCCCAAAATGCTGGGATTACAGGCATGAGCCGCCACACCTGGCCACAAATCTCTTAATGATAGAAATATGTTCTGAAAAATGCCTCATTAGGTGATTTTATCATCATGTGAATATCAGAGTGTGCTTACACAAAGCTAGATGGTATCGCCTACTGTGCACCAAGGGTCTATGGTAGAGCCCTTTGCTCCTGAGCTGCTAACCTGTACTGCACATTACTGGACTGAATACTGTAGGCAACTGTAACACAATGTATTTGTGTATCTAACCATATAAGAGGTACAGTAAAAATATGGTATACTACTCGGGAGGCTGAGGCAGGAGAATCACTTGAACCCAGGAGACGGAGGTTGCAGTGAGCTGAGATCATGCCACTGCACCCCAGCCTGGGTGACAGAGAGAGATTCCGTCTCAAAAAAAAAAAAAAAAAAAAAGTGGTATAAAAGATAAAAATGGTAAAAAAAAATATATATATATAGTACATATATACCATGGAACACTACACAGCCATGAAAAAGAACAAAATAATGTCCTTTGCAGCAACATGGATGGAGCTAGAGGCCATTATCCTAAGCAAACTAACAAAGGAAAAGAAAACCAAATCCAGCATGTTCTCACTTATAAGTGTGAGCAAAACACTGAGTACACGTGAACACAAAGAGGAGAACAATACACACAGGGGCCCACCTGAGGGTGGAGAGTGGGAAGAGGGTGAGGATGGAAAAACAACCTAGCAGGCATCATGCTTATTACCTGGGTAATGAAATAATCTATACAGCACACCCCAGTGACATGATATTTACCTACATAACAAACCTGTACATGTACCTCTGAACCTAAAATAAAAGTTGAAAACAAAAAAAAGAAGAAGAAATTCTCAAAAGGTTAGGCAATGAACACGTAGGTATGGGACTTTGGGAATACTGACGGTGTTTATTTCTAAAGTCATTAGGCCATTGTCCTTGGGTTCACTTCATAATAATCCATTATTCTGTGCATTTAAATGTATTTTTTGTATGTATTCTATATTACACACATTTTAAAAGGTTTAGAAACTTTTTTTTTTTTGAAACAGAGTCTTGCTCTGTCACCCAGGCTAGAGTGCAGTGGTGCGATCTCAGCTCACTGCAACCTCCACCTCCTGGGTTCAAGCCATTCTCCTGCCTCAGCCTCCCAAGTAGTTGGGACTAAACGTGCCCGCCACCATGCCTGGCTAATTTTGTATTTTTAGTAGAGACAGGATTTCACCATGTTGGCCAGGATGATCTCAATCTCTTGACCTCATGATCCCCCCACCTCAGCCTCCCAAAGTGCTGGGATTACAGGCATGAGCCACCGTGCCCTGCCTTGAAGCATTTTTAAAAGAAAATGATTCATACTATATGTTTTTATGAAAGTACATACTGACAATAACAGTACTAACCTGTATGGTACAATAAAAATATTAAACTTTAAGATGCATAACAAATGCAATTGTGTCTCAGGATCTAGGTCTTCAGCTATTTGCAGTAATCTTTTTTGGTTTTTTTGTTTGTTTGTTTGTTTTGAGACGGAGTCTCACTCTGTCGCCCAGGCTGGAGTGCAGTGGCACGATCTGGGCTCACTGCAACCTCTGCCTCCCAGGTTCAAGCGATTCTCTTGCCTCAGCCTCCCGAGTAGCTGAGACTACAGGCGCACACCACCATGCCCAGCTAATTTTTGTATTTTTTTTAGTAGAGACGGGGTTTCACCATATTGGCCAGGCTGATCTTGAACTCCTGACCTCATGATCCACCTGCTTCGGCCTCCCAAAGTGCTGGGATTACAGGCGTGAGCCACCACACCCGGCCACAATAATCTTTAATGATTTTTTGAACAGTGAACTTCTATGTCATGATTTAACCAATAAACTAAATTTAAAATGAAAAAAAAAGATAAAAATGGGCTGGGTACAGTGGCTTATGCCTGTAATCCTAGCACTTTGGGAAGCCAAGGTGGGAGGATCACTTGAAGCCAGCAGTTCAACACCAGCCTAGGCAACGAAGCAAGACCTCAACTCTATAAAAAAAATTTATTTTAATTAAAATTACAATTACAAAAAGATAAAAATGGTACACCTGAATGGCGCACTTACCATGGACGAGGCTTACAGGAACGGAAGTTGCCCTGGATGAGTCAATGAGTGAGTGAGTGGTGAGTGAATGTGAAGGCCTAGGGCATTACTGTACACTGCTGTGGACTTGATAAACATTGTACACGTAGGCTATGCTAAATGTGTAACAAGTATTTTTCTTTCTTCAGTAATAAATTAAGGAATGACACAGAGAAGATCAGCATGGCCCCTGTGCAAGGATGACATGTGAATTAATCTGTTCTCACATTGCTGTAAAGAAATACCCGAGAGTGGGTAATTTATAAAGGAAAGAAGTTTAACTGACTCACAGTTCAGCATGGCTGGGGAGACCTTAGAAAAGAAACACAATCGTGGCAGAAGGCAAAGGAAAAGCAGGGCACCTTCTTCACAAGGCAGCAGGAAGGAGAAGTGAGTGCAAGCAGGGGAAATGCTAGACATGTATAAAACCATCAGATCTCGGCAGGGCGCGGTGGCTCATACCTATAATCCTAGCACTTTGGGAGGCCGAGGCGGGCAGATCACCTGAGGTCAGGAGTTCAAGACCAGCCTGGCCAACATGGGGAAACCCCGTCTCTACTAAAAATACAAAAATTAGCCGGGCAAGGTGGCAGGTGCCTGTAATCCCAGCTACTCAGGGGGCTGAGGCAGGAGAATCACTTGAACCCAGGAGGCAGAGGTTGCAGTGAGCCGAGATCATGCCATTGCACTCCAGCCTGGGCTACAGAGCAAGACTCTGTCGCAAAAAAAAAAAAAAAAAAATCAGATCTCATGACAACTCACTCACTATCACAATAACAGCATGGGGGAAATTGCCCCTGTGATCCAATCACTTCCCGCTGGGTCCCTCCTATGACATGTGGGGATTATGGGGATTACAATTCAAGATGAGATTTGGGTGGGGACACAGCCAAACCATATCAACATGTAAATTCATGCAGTGTTCCATATTTTAAAAGAATATTATTATAATAAATTAATTATAAATTATATAATAATATTATAATAAATTAACCTTAGCTTACTGTAACTCTCTTATTTTATAAACTTTTTAATTTGTTTTAACTTTTTGACTCTTTTACAAAACAGCTTAAAACACAAACGCATTTTACAGCTTTACAAAATTATTTTCTTTCTTTGTATCCTTATTCTATAAACTTTTTTCTATTTTAAAAATTTTTTTATTTTTTTTTACTTTAAAAATTTGTTGTTACAAACTAAGACACATACATATACATTAGCCTACACAGGTTCAGGATCATCAAGATGTGACTGGGTGATAGGAATTTTCCAGCTCCATTATACTCTTATGGGACACAGCAAATATACCATTGCTGTATATTTGGTTCATAGTTGACTGAAACTGGTACGTGACTGTCTGTACTTAGCCTTAAAATTCCTTCCTTCCTTCCTTCTTCCCTCCCTCCTTCCCTCCCTCCTTCCCTTCCCTTCCTTCCCCTTCCTTCCTTCCTTCCTTCTTTTCTTTCTTTCTTTCTTTCTTTTGACAAGAGTCTCACTCTGTTGCCTAGGCTAGAGTGCAGTGGCGCAATCTCAGCTCACTGCAACCTCTGCCTCCCATGTTCAAGTGATTCTCCTGCCTCAGCCTCCCCAGTAGCTCCTGCTTCAGCTTCCCCAGCACAATTTTGTATTTTTAGTAGACACAGGGTTTCACCATGTTGGCCAGGCTGGTCTCAAACTCCTGACCTCAAGTGATCCACCTGCCTCAGCCTCCCAAAGTGCTGGGATTACAGGCATGAGCCAATACACTGGGCCTTAAAATTCTTTTTCAATTAAATTATTGGTTAAAAGAAAGAAATAGAAGCAGAGGGCCATTCTGTGTGTGTTGAAGGTTGTTTGAAGCCCTTCTCTCTCCCTCTCATCCTTCCCTCTTGTCCCTTTCCTTCCTCCTCCTTCTCCCTCTCTTCCCCTTCCTTCTCACTTCCCCTCCCTCTTCTCCCTCTCCCCTTCCGCTTCCCCTTCCTTCTCTCTTCCCCCTCATGCCCACTCCTCCTCCCCCACCCGCTTTCCCTCCCTCTTTCTTCCTCCTCCCTCTCCCCCTTCCCTTCCCCCTCACTCTCTCCCACTGTGTCACCCCATCCCTAGGGCAAAGCATGGCCAGGAGGTGTGGGCTGTAAAGCACACATTACCTAGAAGCTATATTATTTCCCAGAGAAAAGAGAGCTTCTGTGGCTTTGCCCACCAGATTTCCAATAAAAGGATTCATCTTAGACCAGCATGATTGCAGCTAATGGAGAGCTTGCCAGCTTCTAACTTTGCCTTTCACTGAGGATCCATGTGGGCGTGTTCGGCTGTGACTGCTAGGATAAAGATCAGTTACAGAAATAGCTTTGGAGCTGTTAGGATGATGACTCTTTTTTACGGCAGACCATTAACAACTACATCAAATTACCCATGTGAATTATGAGGTGTAGTAGGGTGCCCGACCTTCCGCTCATTATGTGGGACCCAGTAGTTATTGCAGGTCAAATCATGCATAATTGCCAAGGGCATTTTTACGTGAACTTTGCCAGTCATTTCTTGATGCGGTCCCTTAAGATTATATTACCATATTTGTATTTTACCTTTTCTGTTTAGATACGTTTGGAGACATAAATACTTCCTATTGTGCTGCAATTGCCTGCAGTACTCAGTACTTGCTGTACAGGTCCGTAGCCTGGGAGCAATGGGCTCTACCACTTAGCCTAGGTATGTGGTAGGCCGATACCATCTAGGTTTGCGTAAATGCACTCTATATGTTTCCAAAACAACACAATTACCTAACAATGCACTTCTCACAACATAACCCCACGGTGAAGCACCATCTAGGTTTGCGTAAATGCGCTCTATGATGTTTCCAAAACAACACAATTACCTAACAATGCACTTCTCACAACATAACCCCATGGTGAAGCAACACCTGACTGTATATTTCAGAGCTCCTACGAATTTGCCTACATTAAAAGTGATTGGGGGCCTGGCGCGGTGGCTCACGTCTGTAATCCCAGCACTTTGGAAGGCCGAGGCAGGTGCATCACCTGAGGTCAGGAGTTCGAGACCAGCCTGGCCAGCATGGTGAAACTCCATCTCTACTAAAAATACAAAAATTAGGTGGGCGTGTTGGCGGGTGCCTGTAATCCCAGCTACTCAGGAAGCTGAGGCAGGAGACGCTTGAACCCAGGAGGCAGAGGTTGCAGTGAGCTGAGATCGCACCATTGCACTCCAGCCTTGGTGACAGAGCGAGACTCTGTCTCAAAAAAAAAAAAAAAAAAAGTGATTGGGGCAGGGTGTAGAACAACTGGTTAGAGATAATAGTATAGCCTATCAATGTTAAACATCAATTTGAACAAGTCTGCTTGTGCACAGTAGGTTATGCCTCTGAAACATCTAAGGAGCGAGTTCTCAATCCTAGACCATTTTCAAGTTTCTGTAAGGCAGCCAGGAGGTTGGCTGGATGATCTCGCAAATCCTCTTCCTACTCTAACATTCTGCTACCTGATGGGAAGAAACCCAGAGAAACCAGAAACAATTTTGCAGACATTCTTTTTAAATATTTGTTCAATTATTTTTTTAAAACAGAGTCTTGCTCTGTCACCCAGGCTGGGGTGCAGTGGCATGATCACAGCTCACTGCAGCCTCAACCTCATGGGCTCAAGCAATCCTCCCACTTCAGGTGCATGCCACCATGCCCAGCTAGTTTTTTGTTTTTGTTTTTGTTTCGTTTTGTTTTGTTTTTTGTAGAGACCAGGTCTCACTCTATTGCCAAAACTAGTCTCAAATTCATGGGCCCAAGCAAGCAATCCTCCTGCCTCGGCCTCCCAAAGTGCTGGGATTACAGGCGTAAGCCACCAAACCCGGCCCAATTTCTATCTTTCATTCCAAATACAGAATATGTCATCAAACTTAACTGACTGCTTCAGGAACACATGGTGCTTTCCACCCGAATGTCCCGGAGCTGGCTCACGGGCAACAGGCTGCCTTGTTTATCTGTATGTTTCTACCAGCCAGCACAGTGCCTGTCACCAAGGAGGAACTCAATAAGAGGTGATTGAACGAGTGATTGAAACAATTCACTGGATGGGTGGATGCACAGTGTCTGGTCCTGGGATCAGGAAATGGAGTAACTTGGGAAGACAGCATAGCCCACTGGGAGCCAGGAAGACAGGACAGCTGGAATCAAGTGAAAGGCCCCCAAGAGAGGTTTTGGCTGAGGGACTGAAGTGCAGCTTCTCCATTACAATTATACCTGGGCCTGCGCAGGCAGGGGGTGCCCCTCTAAAGCTCTTAGTTTCTTATGCAAGGGCCTGTTACTTGCTGGTCTGAGCAACATCCCCTCCAGGAGGCAGGTATCTTTGTGTGTTTTGAGTAGCTTCCATGCCTTGTGCATACATCTGTTATGAATACCAGTGTGGGTGGATCCCGAGCCAGGAGGAGGAAGCCGGCACTGGCCCTGTTGGCTGCTCAGCTGCCCGGGGCTGAGAGGCCGGTAGGCAGCTGTGGTCCCGAGGGGCAGCGCTGATCCCTGAGAGTGGGTCCCACAGCTGGGCAGGCAGGTGGCCTGAGGGCGCAGAGCCATGAAGCTGTACAGCCTCAGTGTCCTCTACAAAGGCGAGGCCAAGGCAGTGCTGCTCAAAGCCAGGTACGACGATGTCGCTTCCTTCAGCTTTTTCCAGAGATCCAGCGTTCAGGAATTCATGACCTTCACGAATCAACTGATCGTGGAGCACTCATCCAAAGGCACTAGAGCTTCTGTCGAAGAACAAGACTATATGTGGCACGTCTATGTCCGGAATGACAGTCTTGCAGGTGACAATGAATGCCCATCCCGGATGGCCTTTACCTTGCTGGAGAAAGTACTAGATGAATTCTCCAAGCAAGTCAACAGGATAGACTGGCCAGAAGGATCCCCTGCTACAATCCATTCTGCAGCCCTGGATGGTCACCTCAGTAGACACCAGAACCCACGAGACGCTGACCCTGTGACTAACGTGCAGGCCGAACCAGATGAAACCCAAATCGTTGTGCACAACACCATGGAGTGTTTGTTAGAGCGAGGTGAGAAGCGAGGTGGCTTGGTGTCCAAATCCGAGGGCTGGGAACACAGTCTAAAGCCTTCTATAAAACCGCCCGGAGGCTGGGCACGGTGGCTCATGCCTGTAGCACTTTGGAGGCCAAGGCGGGCGGATCACCTGAGGTCAGGAGTTCGCGCCCAGCCTGGGCAACATGGTGAAACCCTGTCTCTACTAAAATACAAAAAGTTAGCCAGGCATGGCAGCCTGCACCTGTAGTCCCAGCTACGCGGGAGGCTGAGGCAGGAGAATTGCTTGAACCTGGGAGGCGGAGGTTGCAGTAAGCCGAGATTGCATCACTGCACTCCAGCCTGGGCGACAGAGCAAGACTCCCTCTCAAAAAAAAAAAAAAATTCCCGGAAACAAAACTCGTGTTGTGCAATGGCCCAGCACTGGAACAGCACCATCATCTGCGTCAGAACTGCAGTCCCCAGAGAAGAAGAGAGAGCCCTGCACGAGGACCTGGAGTGGGGGCACACAGGCCATTTTTATTTTGAAGCTCTCAGGAGAAACAGGGATGGTGGAAGGGTGGGAAATGTTCAAATTAATATGTGTGGTAGTGATTCTTGGAAAGAATTTGAGGTCCCCAAAGGCGTATTTTTGGGCAAATGAAACCATAAACTCCAACTGGCTTCTGAAGAAAAAAAAAAAAAAAAAGAATATCAATGTGTTTCTAGAACAGCACCTGGCACATAGCAGATACCTCTTGTAGTTATTGAAGAAATGGACATATTCAGAATGAGAAGGTTCACTGTGTGTCTGAGGGGAGAGCTATTGTTTTCCGACCAACACGATATTTGTTGTGGTGCGGAGCGGCTGCACGTTTGGAAACACAGGGCTTTCATGTGACTTGTGTGAACTAATGGCTGCACACCAGTTCTACGGGAAATGGGAAAGCGTTAGTGGTCAGAGCCAGCTGCCTGGGGGGCTGGCCTGCTTCGCTGCTCATGAGCCTCGCACTTATGGGCCAGTTGTGACCACCCAAGGGGTTCACCTTGCCTGCTGCCTAGATTGAGCCAATTCACCAAGACAGGGGAACTGCAATAGACAAAGAGTAATTCATGCAAATCCGACTGTGTAGGAGACTGGAGTTTTATTATTACTCAAATCAGTCTCCCCGAGCATGCTGGGAGCAGAGTTTCTAAGGACAATTCGATGGGCAGGAGAAAGCCAGTGAGCCGGGGTGCTGATTGGTCAGGGGTGAAATCACAGGGAGTCAAAGCTGTCTCGTGCTGAGTCAGTTCCTGGGTGGGGGCCACAGGATCAGGTGAGCCAGTTTATTGATGGGGTGGTGCCAGCTGATCCATCAAGTGCAGGGTCTGCAAATATCTCAAGCACTGATCTTAGGAGCAGTTTAGGGAGGGTCAGAATCTTGTAGCCTCCAGCTGCACGACTCCTAAACTATAATTTCTAACCTTGTGGCTGATGTTAGTCCTACAAAGGCAATCTAGTCCCCAGGCAAGAAGGAGGTCAGCTTTGGGAAAGGGCTGTTATCGTCTTTGTTTTAAACTATAAACTATAAACTAAGTATTTCCCAAAGTTAGTTCAGTCTATGCCCAGGAATGAACAAGGACAGCTTGGAGGTGAGAAGCAAGATGGAGTCGGTTAAGTTAGATCTCTCTCACTGTCTTAGTCTTAATTTTGCAAAGGCAGTTTCACAGTTGCCTGGCCTCTGGATGCCTGTGTTCCCGCAGTGGTGTGGGCTTTAGTGACAGCACCTTCCTCTCAGGGCTTTCATGAGGAGTAAATAAATTAATAGGCATAAAGCACTTGGAAAAGAGCCTATTCTAACCACTAGGTATATAGAAGTGGTGATTATTAGAGCTGGTCTGGATCCCTTGCAGTTGCTGAAATTGTATGCAGCTCCTAGGTGAGAAAAGATGAGTGTTGGATTCTTTTAGCAATATGAAGCAGACAGGCTGTTTAGCGCCCTGAATAGTCATCCAAATGGCTTCACTTCTTGCTAGCCCCAAAGGGTCGGTAGGAAGGCAGTTCTGATATCCTGAAAAAATGTTTGCGGTCATACCCTTTCCTCAGAAAGCCAGCACTGCAGAGAGAACTCCAATGCACACACTGAGTCGTGAGTCCAGCACCGCCTGAATTAAAGCTAAATATGGCCAAGGATTCTCCAAAGAAATCCTCACTGAAGACAGAAATTTGGGTCCAATATTTCATCTTCATGAAGTAAAAAGTTTTTCCCGGGGCCGGGAGTGTTGTCTCACGCCTGTAATCCCAGCACTTTGGGAGGCTGAGGCAGGAGGATCACTTGAGCCCAAGAATTCAAGACCAGCCTGGCAACATGGTGAAACCCTGTCTCTATAAAAAATATCAAAAAAAAAAAAAAAAAAAAATTAACCAGGAGTGGTGGCACATGCCCGCAATTCCAGCTACTCAGGAGGCTGAGATGGGAGGATCACTTGAACCAAGGAGGTCATGGCTGCAGTGAGCCACGATAGCACCAGTGCACTCCAGCCTGGATGACAGAGCGAGACTGTCTCAAAAAGAGGAAAAAACAAATTAACTTCAAACACCTTCACCCAAGCATAAATCTGGAAACTAAATTATTTCTTTATTTAAACCAATTTTGACAGACCCATGTAATAATGATATAGATTGATATTTATTGGAAAGAAAAAGTCTTCACCACATGACAAATTTTTTTAAAGTAGTGAAAATGTGTGTATTACATGATACCAGTTTTTATACTGGTGCGGTGGCTCATGCCTGTAATCCCAGCACTTTGGGAGGCCAAAATGGGTAGATCACCTGAGGTCAGGAGTTCGAGACCAGCCTGGCCAATATGGTGAAACCGCATCTCTACAAAAAATATGAAAATCAGCAGGGCGTGGTGGTGGGCGCCTGTCGTCCCAGCTACTCCGGAGGCTGAGGCAGCAGAATTGGTTGAACCCAGAAGGCAGAGGGAGGTTGCAGTGAACCGAGATCGTGCCACTGCACTCCAACCTGGGCGACAGCAAGACTTCATCTCAAAAAAAAAAAAAGAAAGAAAAAGAAATGAAATTCTGTCTCTACACATACGTGTGCAAATGCACAAACATACGCACACAGATACACACACCCCTCAGGTTTGAATAGTGATTATATGTATATAGTTCTTGATTGATCTTAATGACTTATTGCCTCTGTGAGTTTTTAAATTTTTCTACAATGAATATGTAACACTTTTGAAGAAAGAACTGTTGGCCGGGTGCGGTGGCTCACGCCTGTAATCCCAACACTTTCGAGGCCAAGGCGGGTGGATCACCTGAGCTCAGGAGTTCAAGACCAGCCTGACCAACATGGAGAAACCCTGTCTGTACTAAAAATACAAAATTAGTTGGGTGTGGTAGCCGCATGCCTGTAATCCCAGCTACTCGGGAGGCCGAGGCAGGAGAATCGCTTGAACCTGGGAGGCGGAGGTTGCAGTGAGCCAAGATCGTGCCATTGCACTCCAGCCTAGGCAACAAGAGCGAAACTCCGTCTCAAAGAAAGAAAGAAAAAGAAAGAACTGTCAAAATACACACACACACACACACACACACACACACACACACACACACCCCTTCCTGAGGAAGAAAACTGAGCAGAAGGAATTAGTTTCTAGTAGACGAATTTCAAAGTAGAAATCCTTTCTTCATGGGGACGGGGGTGTGTCACTGACCCCTCCATCATGTTGCCCTTCCCCCCATTCCCCACTCAGAGGCTGGCTCAGAAGCCCCAGTGTCACCTTGGTGAGAAGTGGCTGCCCTGTCCCATCCTGGAGTCCTGGGGTCCTCCTCCTCTGAGCCATGTGAGAGTTGGCACGTTACATCATCACCTCTGTTTTTGGCAGCCAGCCCAGTGCTCAGATGGCTAAGAGGTGACACCCTATAACAAATAAACAGGAAAGAGAAAGAAGCAATTCACTTGGATGACATCTAACACAGACATGAAGAAAAAGGCCACGCCGTCCCTAAAGGACAAATGATAACACCAGGCAGAGCAGGCTCCACTGGGCATAGGATGCAAAGGTTGACCTGTCACAAGCAGCATCAAAGAAAGTTGCTCTGAGGGCACGAGCCAGCTTTAATTAATAGCTCACCACTGCATCTTGGAGATGGGTTTCCCACTCTGGTGGAATATTCCATTAGACTTGCTGACAATATTTCATGTCAAATAAGGTATAGATTGACCTGCAGGTCAAGACTGTGGTGGTGTGATCAAGAAAGGAAGCGCAGGCCGGGTGCGGTCGCTCATGCCTGTAATCCCAGCACTTTGGGAGGCCGAGGCAGGCAGATCACTTGAGGCCAGGAGTTCGAGACCAGCCTGGCCAACATGGTGAAACCCCATCTCTACTAAAACACCAAAATTAGCCAGGCTATAGTAGCACATGCCTGTTATCCCAGTTACTCAGGAGGCTGAGACATGAGAATTATTTGTACCCGGGAAGTGGAGGTTGCAGTGAGCTGAGATCATGCCACTACACTCCAACCTGGGCAACAGAGTGAGATACTGGAAAAAAAAAAAAAAAGGAAGGAAGGAGGGAGGGAGGGAGGGGAGAAAGGAAAGGAAAGGAAAGGAGAGTGCAGGGGTACACAGTTTAATGTGACAGTAACATCTTGGCATACTTGGTTGCTAAAACAGGTTGTTAAGCAGAAGGACACAGATGTAAGCTTTGAAGCTCAGAATTCAGGGAAAGTAGGGCCTTCCTGGGTCTGCAGAGAGCAAACCCAACCACGAAGAGGCAACGCCCTCGAATTCACTTCCAACAGACCTTTCCAGGGCCCTTCATTTGAGCAGCTGGAATATCATTCAGCAACCATCCTGTCAGCCTTTGGAAACAGGAGACTTGCATTTCATTTCAGACACTGAACACTGTGTTCCGGACCGCGTTTATTCTCCATATAAACAGCGTGTTTTGAGAATCATGCGTTTATTGTATAATACCGAGTCAGGTCACAGTAAACTCATTTCCGTCGTGAAAGGTTTCAAGTATTCAGAGGAGGTTAAGAAGAATAAAAAGCTTATAACAAAACAACCTCTGTTTCCAAAGTGCTAAATAATGAAAAATGTGGTGTGAAAACGTCACTAAATTCCATTTAAACATCCGAAGTTCAGTCAAGGGAAAAGCAAGTATTAAAGTCAGTGACAGAGTCATGAAAACTCAGCGGCTTCGATACTAGTGGGTAAGTCAGCAAGGTGTTTGTACAAGGAAACCAGGCACCTGGACAATTTCCTAAAACCGGCCCCAACTGGAGAAAGTGATATGGAACCTAAATACTTAGGATGTCTAATAGCTACAGCTATTTTGAGAAGAGGAGAAAATCTTTGCCTAGTAAAACCATGATTCTCAGGCATCCACATCTCCAGAACTCTCAGGCTTTCAAACTGGGTCCCAATCAGGAGATACTAAACACACACACATATACTGACATACGAAGATACCTGGGATATTTTTGCATCTCTTTTTTTTTTTTTTTTTTTTGGAGATGGAGTCTTGCGACTGTCACCCAGGCTGGAGTGCAGTGGCTCAATCTCAGCTCACTGCAACCTCTGGCTCGTGGGTTCAAGCAATTCTCCCGCCTCAGCCACTCGAGTAGCTGGGACTACAGGCGCACACCACCACACCTGGCTAATTTTTGTATTTTAGTAGAGATGGGGTTTCACCATGTTGGCCAGGCTGATCTTGAACTCCTGACTCGTGATCCACCCACCTCAGCCTCCCAAAGTGCTGTGACTACAGGTGTGAGACACCATGCCCGGCCTCCATCTCTTCATTTTCTAAATCAATTAAACATGGCTTGGCCCTCAGTCCCCGACCTGGCAGATAATCCAGTCTGAGCCATGTTTTGGGGATTGCACTCTCCACACCCCTTGGGCTCATGTAGGAACTCCTGGGCCTGTGCAGTCCACAGAAGTCCAACTGGAGGAAGGTCCTATGGATCTGGGGTTGCTGGCATAACTCATGTGGCCTCACAAAGGTGGGTGGCACCCCTTCTTCCTGGCTGAGCCTCACATGAAGATCTGAGCCAAGAAGTCCAGGCTTTCAGGTGGGGCTGGCAGCTCTCCAGGGGCAACTCAGGTGCCCACTGAAGACACTGCAGGCACACAGTGCACCGTCCCACCCCCCGCCCCAAGGAAATCCCCCAAAGGCCTAAACCTAAGCCATCCACCTTGACTCCAGGTTGCACCACTTCCCTCTTCCTGCCAGTGAGCAGCCTCCTTCCTTCCCACTGGCGGTCCTAATAACTTCCCTCCCTCAACAAGAGGGATAATGAGACTCTAGCCCAGATATTACAAACCAGATGCCTGAAGGCAAAATTCTGAGTTGTTTTGACCATACTCTATTTTTACTACTTGCCAACACTTTACAAAATCGAATTTTCATGTAAAAACCCAGCTTCCTGTCTTCAGGTGCACTGGCAAGACCAGGCCCACAGTCCCAGAAGCCGTAACTGGTTGGAGCCGACCGACAGCGTTCCATGGGACATGTGTTCTCTGCTTTGCCACAGTCTCCACTCCTCCCTTTCGTAGCACCGGGAACACTTTACAAATTTACATAACCTACCTGACCCCTGTGAGATGTGAACTTTGCAGTCTACCCTCAAGGTCTCAAAGGTTGGCTGCCTTTCTGGGATTAGGAAAGGATTCATTCTTTCAGATTTCCCAAAGAACAAGGGAAATCATGACGTGCCTGTAGCTTCTCCTGTTGTTACATCCACATGGAGCCCCCCAATGGGAAAGCAGGGAAAGCTGGATATGGGCCCCCAGCTTTCCCATCTCACATGGCCTGCAGCAGTGGTCCACCCACATGTTAAGGAAAAGATTATTCTCACCCTTGTTTTTGTGTTGTTTTTGTTTTTGGTTTTTTGGGGTTTTTTTGTTTGTTTGTTTGTTTTTTTGATGTAGAGTCTCCCTCTGTCGCCCAGGCTGGAGTGCAGTGGCGCAATCTCGGCTCACTGCAACCTCCACCTCCCAGGTTCAAGCAATTCTCCTGCCTCAACCTCCTTAGTAGCTGGGATTACAGGCGTGCACCACCACACTCAGCTAATTTTTGTATTTTTAGTAGAGACAGGGTTTCACCATGTTGGCCAGGCTGGTTTCAAACTCCTGACATCAGGTGATCCGCCCGCCTAAGCCTCCCAAAGTGCTAGGATTACAGGCGTGAGCCACCACAACTGGCCCTCACCCTTGTTAAAGGACGGACTTTACTCAGGACTATCATGATAGTGACAGGGACCACCGCAATGGGATTTTGCAGCAGGACAGAGAGATAGGGGAAAGTGGGAGTTGTTAGCCATGGAGCAGGGCAGGAGGCTCAGCAGATGGAAAATGATTCAGATGAAACATCAGGCCATGGGGATTCTGGCTATACTCAACTAAGAGGGCTCTTGCTGAAGGCAGGCCAAGGCTATGGTGGGGGCGAGGATTTGATCAGATACGGAGGGTGACCCACTATCGAGGCTAAACTGACTTAGCAGGATTCTTGCTAAAACTGGGATTTTAAGGATGTGTCTAAGGAGAGAGCCTCATTGAAAAACAGCTCAGAGGAGGCTGGGCTAGAGTTTGGTCAAGGAGAGAATCTTTGTCACAGACCTCCCCTCCTCACAGACAGGCCTCTCTCCAACGGGCTAGAAGGACTGTGCCTGGCTGTAAATGGCTGTAAAATGCCTGCCTCTTTCTCCACACTTCAAGGAGACTGAAGGGAAGAGAGGAGAATGCCAGGAGAGGGGCAGCTCCTTAGAGCACGGGGAGGGGCTCTGAGCAGCAGCGCTGGAAGCTGTGATGGGCGGTCGGTCAGTCCCAACAGCAAAAAGAAGGGAGCTGGCCCCAAGGAGACAGGGGACTAGGAGTTTGACACTCAGGAGGAACCAGCAGATTCTGCCCTCTGCACAGAGGTCATGTGACTTGTGCGGCAGGGGCCAGCTCGAGGGGTGGCAGTCACAGTACAAGGTGACACAATAATGGTGAGCCTAGGTTTCAGGCCTGGGTTCCATACCAAATATGTTTATATTTATATCACGACAATCACGGGTGGGAGGTTGTATCTCGCATTATAGAAAAATATTAGAATCTGGGTGTGGTGGCTCACACCTGGAATCCCAACACTTTGGGAGGCCAACGCAGGCAGATTGCTTGAACTCAGGAGTTCAAGACCAGCCTGGGCAACATGGTGAAGTTCTGTCTCTACAAAAATACAAAAATTAGCTGGGGGTGGTGGTGTGTGCCTGTAGTCCCAGCTACTTGGGAGACTGAGGTAGGAGGATCGCTTGAGCCTGGGAGGCAGAGGTTGCAGTGAGCCAAGATTGCACCATTGTACTCCAGCCTGGGTGACAGAGCAAGACCTTGTCTTAAAAAAAAAAAAAAAAAAAGAAAGAAAGCAATGCACAGGCTGGGGGTGGTGGCCCACACCTGTAATCCCAGCACTTTGGGAGGTCAAGGCAGGTGGACCACCTGAGGTCAGGATTTTGAGACCAGCCAGGAGACGGAGGCAGTGAGCCAAAATCATGCCACTGCACTCCAGCCTGGATGACAGAGCAAGACTCCATCTCAAAAAAAAAAAAAAAAAAAAAAAAAGCAATGCACACAATTAAAGGTTGTTGGGTAACTTCGCAGCCCTGAAAGACACTAGGAAGTCTTCCAACATATCTGAATTTCAAAGAAGGCTTGAGATAGAGAAAGACCTTCTTCCTGGGTCCCCCAGCTACCATATACTCTCCAGCCAGCGGTGCTCTCCCAAGTACCTTTGCATAGTGAACAAAGTGCACAGCCATGATCAGCATTATTTCTTCTATTTAACAGTGTGGAATCTACGAGAGGACTTATTGCTCACTGAGCACAGGGAGTGGGGCCTATGAAGTGGGTTCAGTGAACCCAACAGGTATTACTCACTGCTCTGCAATATTTATGGTGCTGGAGATACCCAGCATCCTGGGGTGTAGACTGAGGAGGAAGGGCTAGGCTAGAGGGCAACCTTTCAAAGAATGGAAGCTGTTAAGGCCTCTGGCTGTAGTGGGTGGACAGTGGGCAGAGTGAGAAAGGAGTAACAGTGATGTTAACTAGCATCTAGTAAGTACTTTCCCCATAAGAAGCTCCATGTAAATCACTTTATAAGTATTGTCTCTTTGCATCTTCCCCCACATGAGGTATGTACTATATTATCCCCATTTCACAGGGAAGGAATCTAAGGTTGAAGCAAGTTATATGACCTGCCCAGGCCTCAGTGGTAATAAATGGTAGAGTTGGGGTTTGAACTTAAGTCCCAGGAGTCTGGGAACAACTAAACATAAGGAAAGGGCAAAGGAGACAGAAAAATGAGAAGCTCCCAAAGTGGGTGACTTTAGAGGAGGGAGGTGGCAAAGCAGCCAAGGGGCTGAGCTCTGGGCAGAAGAGGAAGGAGACTAAGCCTCGGGAGGGGCCCCAGGATGGCAACAGATGGGGAGACATTTCCCAGGAGCTGTGAAGGCTGAAAGCAAACTGTGGGCTGGTGGGGAATTAATGGGAGATGAGGAAATGTAGACACGGACAACATGGATGCCTTTACCAAGAAGCCAGGCTGTGGAATAAAGATCAACAGTAACAAACCCCTTCAACGTGTAATTTCATTGTTAGGCCAAACTGGAAGAGAGCCAAAAGCCACCAGGAGCCCAGTCCAAATGTCACCTGCCCACCACACACAGCGGGCTTCCTGTGGTATGAACTATTCACCCCAAATCAGCCTCTTCCCCAGAGCAAACGCCTACCCTGTTGGTATATTTGTAGTCCCTTTCCTGCCTGCCAAGGTGCTGGAAGTAATTGTGCAGGTATGAGCTGGCCAGCCATAGGGCAGCAACCCTCTATGCAGACACAGAATGTCCTGAGCACACCAGGAACTGCAGACACCAGCACCCCACATGACTTCTAGAACTTCCAAGTGCCCACTGATGACATCCTCTGTAAATGCCCCAAGAGAGCAATGCTTTTTTGCCTTGGAAACATCTTTTATACAATCCAGTCTCTCCCAGATCCCTGACCTGAGGCATCGAGGAGAGTTGGTTTGTTTTTAGAAGGCAGCCATTCTTGACAAAATGCACACAAAGATTGGCAGCTATCTGCCTTCCAGGGGCCCCATGAGAGACTAACTCCTCTCCTTCCAACTCCTCTACTTTCAAAGCAAGATGTAGTTTGGGGACAAAATCAGGGAAAGGAGAAACAGGATTTCTTCTCTCCCCGCCACCCGCCATCAGGCTACCAGAGTTTTTAAGGGTAGAGATAGGCTCAGATTTTCCCTGAGGGGTTACGTATACAAAAAATATTCCATAATCATCCAATGGGATCATTACAAATTACTGGATAAAAGCCTTTCTTTCTTCAATCCTCATAGCCCTCTTCTCTTCAAAGAAGTCCACAGAGCTGGAAAAATATAGGAGACAAAAGATTTAAAGACGAATCTAGGGCGAAAACAAAGTGGAAACTTCCCAGCCATGTTCTTGAATGCTAAGCTGAGCCCTGATTCATCAAACACTTTGAATGTGATTCCTAAAATCAATCTTTTCTTTTTCATTTAAAAAAAACAATGCCTACAGGCTCACATTTTGTAGAACAGTGGTGAAAGAGAATTGAAAATATTATTCAAACATATTTTACAACTAACTGAAAAGAACAAACATTTAGAGAAGTGAAAGTCACTGAAATAGGCCTCCCCTGTGCTTTTCTTCAAAGATTTTCTGATGTCAGCTTAGAAGTGAGTTAGAGAAAGGATTAAATACAAAGGAGGGGAGGGGTTCTCTCATCAGCCACCCATGAGAATTGGGAGTTTCTGGCTCAGGCCAGAGAGGCGACTGCCCCTGCCGGGGGACCTCCACCTCTCGGCCACCTTTTTCCACCTGCATAGCCCCTTCCCCCATCAAACTGCACTTAGGAAGGTCAATAATGGTGCTGGTGGTCACATATTCCCTGACGTTCCTGGGTTCAGTTGCTGCTATGTCTTTTTAGATGCTAATTTTATGCTTCACTCAAAGGTTTTCCAAAGAAAGAGGCTTTTAAGTAATGAAAGAATGAATGGGGTTTAAAGCCCTGGCAAGCTGATACCGATCAGTCTCTGGAAAGGTACAAAGCACGCTGTAGAACGGGTTTGGCTTGGAACTGAAACCACGCATCGGAGAAAATATTTGCAACAGAGGGGGTGTCACTGCCACAGGAAACTTAGCAAGGGGCCCATTTCCCAGTATAGTTTAGTTATCTCAAAAGATTTCTTCCCTGTCCAGGTATTATTACCACAGGAGACTGGGAAGAATCACCAGATGAAAATGCTTACATTTAATACTAAAGCTTCCTTGCAAAGCAATAAAAGTTTTATATGATTTAATTTATTAGTTTCATTGTAGAACGATTTTTAACCAGTCTTGTCCGAGACTCAGAATTTTGGTTGACTTTTGTACTTAAATTTACCACGGAATTTTCTTTCCACTTGTAAGATTTAAGTGTTTAACAAGTACTTGCTGGTAAAGGCGCTAACAAAAGCGTTGCTGAGTAACACCAGAACTGTTCACACACTAAAAGGCTGAGACGGGGGAAGAGCAGACGAGGGGGATCTTCTCTGGGGAAAAGATAGAGGCTAGGATGTGCCACCCCTCGGAAGAGCAGATGGACAGCACGACTGCTGCCGTCCCAGCCACCACGGTCCCAGCACCAGACACCGGCTTCGAGTGGTTTCTTATCTTCACTTCTTCCTCTTAAAAAAAAAAGAAAAAAAAATCAAATAATACACAAAGGCATAAAAAATAACACAATCAGCACCTTTTACTCCCCCACTACCCAGCTTAAGAAATAAAACATGATAGGCCGGGCGCGGTGGCTCACGCCTGGAATCCCAGCACTTTGGGATGCCAAGGCGGGCGGATCAGGAGGTCAGGAGATCGAGACCATCCTGGCTAACACGGTGAAACCCCGTCTCTACTAAAAATACAAAAACACATTAGCCCGGTGTGGTGGCGGGTGCCTGTAGTCCCAGCTACTCGGGAGGCTCACTCTGTCACCCAGGCTGGAGTGCAGTGGCGCAATCTCGGCTCACTGAAACCTCTGCTGCCCGGGTTCAAGCAATTCTCCTGTCTCTGCCTCCTGAGTAGCTGGATTATAGGCGCCTGCCGCCATGCCTGGCTAATTTTTGTATTTTTAGTAGAGATGGGGTTTCACCATCTTAGCCAGGCTGGTCTTGAACTCCTGACCTTGTGATCCACCTGTCTCGGCCTCCCAAAGTGCTGGGATTACAGGCATGAGCCACCGCGCCTGGACTTTTTTTTTTTTTTTTTTTTTTTTTGAGATGGAGTCTCGCTTTGTTGCCCAGGCTGGAGTACAGTGGCTCCATCTCGGCTCACTGCAAGCTCCGCCTCCTGGGTTCATGCCCTTCTCCTGCCTCAGCCTCCTGAGTAGCTGGGACTACAGGCACCCACCACCACACCTGGCTAATTTTTGTATTTTTTTAGTGGAGACAGGTTTCACTGTGTTAGCCAGGATGGTCTCGATCTCCTGACCTTGTGATCCGCCCGTTTTGGCCTCCCAAAGGGCTGGGATTACAGGGGTGAGCCACCACACCTGGCCTGGTCTCGATCTCTTGACCTCACAATCTGCCCACCTCGGCCTCCCAAAGTGCTGGGAGTACAGGTGTGAGCCACCATGCCTGGCCTATACTGCACATTTTTAAGCTTTATATGCCCAAAGGTGTGTGGAATCATAAGCAAGTATTTTTTGTGGGGGCGTCTGTCTATATAAACAATTTGAGTTGCCCAAACCAGCATATTAGTACCATTCTGGCAGCCCAATCTTGTGCTATGCCACCTGCCAACAGGAACACCAGCCAACTGCACCAGCCAACAGGAGCAATCTGCTCAGAGTTCTTCCTGGAACCAAGACTTGGACACAAAGGTGCAGCCCAGAGCTGCTAGGGGCATCTGGTCAACCTCAGGAGCTGTGCAAAGGGTGGAGAGGAAAGCTAGTCATCTGGGTCTCTGTCCAAGCTCTGCCCTAGCTCCTGAGATGTGGGACCCATGACAGGGGCCCCATTTGCACCAGTCTAGGACCAGTACAAGTATACCACATGTGTACTTCTGAAGTTCACATTTACCATTCAACATTGTGTGAATTATCCATGTTGACAACCACAGCTCTAGCTCATTCACTTTCATTGCTATTTAGCATTCCATTATATAGACAACAATTTATTTATTCATTCTCCTGATAATGGACATTTTGTTTCCAATTTCCTACTATAAAAGAATTCACGTGGTGTCATTCATCTGGGGTAATACCCGAGGCTTCGTTGTCCCACGCCAAGGAAATCAAGGATGCAGACACACAAGGAGTGAAGTTAACAGTGGTGGTTTAATAGGCGAAAGAAAGAGAAATGCTCTCTCGGGCAGATAGAGGGGGTCCTGAGCGGGTCTTCAGGTCCACAGTGAAGCGCAGGAGGTTTTATAGATAAGCTTGAGGAGGCAGTGTCTGATTTAGCTAGGGCACGAAAGATTGGTCAAACCAGTTGTGCCATTTGCATACAGCACGAAGAACTGGTTAGGACTGGGTGTGCCATTTGCATAGCGTGCAAAGAAGCTGGCCGCCCCACCCTAATCTTTTACTATGCAGGTGGGGTCTCCACCTGGCCGGTGCCATGTTGCCTGCTTCTTTACTGCACACGTGGTGACAAAGAAAAGGGAAGATGGAGTCTCCATATTGAATATACCTGGTCCCCAGGTAGCCTTTTCCTGTTGGCACAGCTGCCAGCATTCACCCATGCAAGCTTCCAGCTTGCTTATCTATGTTTGCAGCTTGATTTTATAGGCTGCTCTTTGTTAGAAAAGAAATGATTTGGGGGCTGCTTTTTGTTTAAAAGGCAGCCTTGCCAAGGACTCCTTTAGCCTCACTATCTGCCTAAATAATTTCTTTTTAGCTCCTGTATCAGAATGATACATTAAATATTCTTTGACATATCTCCTGCCATGTGCAAGGGCTTGTCTGCAGTGCGTACCTAAAAGGGAATTACTGCATCTTATCGTATGTGTATTGTCAACTTTATTAGATATTTTCAACTTATTCTACCAAGTGATTACCAATTTATATTATCATTACTGTAAATTGCTTCATAGCCACATCAATTGTTGGTACTGTCAACCTGAAATAATCAAAAGGGTCAGAATCTAATTTTAAAGGAGTGTATTCAAATGCAAAGTTTGAGAATAGTCCACCAGGAAACCAACTCCAAGGAATGGAGTTGGCAGTTCAAAGTAGGGAAGTTAAGGTTTCATTTATACAGGGAGAGACAGGGTAGCTTTTAGCAAGATTAGAACATTTTTCATACAAGGTTGGTACATAGTTATAGCAATTTGACTGATGATAGGCAGTGTTTGTGGGAAGGCTACATTTAGCATTTTTTAAAATAAAGGGTATAATAGCGATGGGTTTTGTCATCTGCGATCAGCAAGGCAGGACAACAAAGGGGATGTTAATCAATAACAAAGGCCATTAATTAGGAAGACAGGAGGTTGTTGTCCCTGGTGTTATTTAATTCTCTCTAGTTATTGTACAGAACAAGAAAAATAAGAAAGTAAGTTAATCTATAATCTGAGAAACAGACGTTGTAATCATATATGACTCAGATCACAGTCACATCTCTCTCAATGCTTAAAGTGTTCTGGGATTCCAACAGCTTGTAAATTATATTTATTATCATCAGATTTAAAATTTTAGCCAAGCTGAAGGGTGTGAAACGGTATTTCACTATGGTTTTAATGTCCATTTTCCTGATTACTAGTAACTTTTTCTATGTTGATTTACTATTTTGGTTTTTCCTTTAGCGAATTGCCTGTCTTTCCTATCGGGTTGTTTGTCTTTTTAATAGTAGGTCTCCATATATTTTGGATACTTTATAAAATCTACTACTAATATTTAATGGGCAAAATATGTTGCATATATCTTGTGTTAGTCCATTTGTTCTTTTAAGAACACCTGAGACTGGGTGATTTATAAAGAAAAGAAGTGTGTCTGGGCCAATGGTTTTGCAGGCTATACATGCATGGCACCAACATCTGCTCAGCTTCTGGTGAGGCCTCAGGAAGCTTACAGTCATGGCGGAAGGTGAAGGAGGAGCAGGCAATATCACATGGCAAGAGCAGGAGCAAGAAAAATGGTGGGGGTGGGTTCAACACTCTTAAACAACCAGATCTCACATGAACTCAGAGTGAGAACTCACTTATCACCAAGAGGATGATGCTAAACCATTCACGAGAGAACCGCCCCCATGATCCAGTCACCTCCCACCAGGCCCCACCTCCAACATAGGAATCGCATTTCAACCTGAGATTTGGTGGGAAAAAGACATTCAAACTATATGATACCTTCTCGGAGTCGATAGCTTATTTTTTTACTCTTTGTGTCTTTTGAGCACAGTTTTAAAATTTAATATCAGTGAGGTTATCAATCTAATTGTTATTTATACTTTTTGTGACTTATAAGAAATCTTTCCCTAACCTAAGGTCATAAGCATTTTCTTCTAAAAGTTGGAAACTTTTCTCTTTCCTGTTTAGATCTTCAGCCGACCCTGGAATTGATTTTTGTTTATAATGTGAACATTCAGCCTTATTTTTTTTCCCAGATGAAAAACCAATAATCTGGACACCATTCTTTCCCCACTGATCTTCCATGACCCTCTGATGTTTGTCAATTTCTATACAGGCATGGGCACTTTTCTGTGCTTTCTGCTCTAAACCTTTTATCTATTTTTCTGTGCCTTCATCAGTACCACTCTGAATTATTAGACCTTTATAATAAGTAGTTACACCTGGTAGAGTAAACCCAAACGTTGTGCTTCTTCGAAACTAGGTATTCTTGCCTATGTTTTTCTACTGAAATGTAAAACCAGCTTGTCAAGGTCCAAGAAAAATCCTGTTTGAATTTTAATTAGAATTGCAATTCAATTGCAATTGAATTCAGATTGATTTAGAGAACTGATATCTTTATGAAATTGTGTCTTCCTATCTACTTGCCTGGTATATATTTTTTCATCCTCTTTCATCATTTTGTTATCTCTTATAAATAGCATACAGGTAGACTTGTCAAAAATCAACCTGAAAATCTCTTCATCTCAGCATTTTGCAGATGTTACTCTTCCACTGACTTCTTGCTTCCATTGTTAATGTTGAGAAATCTGCTGTTAATCTTACTGTTGTGCCTTCATAAGTCATTTGTCTCTTCCTTGTGATTGCCCATAGTTCTCTTTTACTTCAGTGACCTCGGTATCCCTATAATGTGTTAAGGTGTTCATTTGTTTTACTTATTCAGCTTGGGATTCGCTATTACTTCTGAATCTAAGGATATGTAACTTTCAGCAATTCTGAAAAACTCTCTGACATTATCTTGCTGAAAATCACCTTTTACCTGTTCTTTCTGTTCTCTCCTTATGAAATTTTTATTAGAAGCAGGTTAGATTCCCTCATTCTATCTTCCATGTCTCTTAACTCCTGCTATTTTCCCATCATTTTGTCTCTCCATGCTGTGTTCTAGAAAATTTTTTCAGCTTTAATCCAGTTAATTCCATATCAATTCTTTCTTTAGCTATGTCAAATCTACTATTCATTCATTGGTTTGTTGGGGTTTTAAAATTTTTTTTTTCGTAGAAGTTCTATTTAGTGCTTTTTAAAATCTGCCTAAAACTGGTCTGTGCTATTATTAGAGGTTAGGATAGTACTTACTCTTGTGAAGGGTATGGGTCATGACTGGAAGGAAACATGGGGGCAGGGGACTTGGGGATGCTAGTAATGTTTTGGGTTTTTTTATGGGTGCTAGTTAGATGTGTTCCAATTGTGAAAATCCATCAAGCTATATGCTTATAATTTGTATATTTTTTGCATGTATATGATTACATTATATAATATCTCTTGCTCTTTTCTTGTATTTTTAAATGTAATCAAACATTTTAGGTATATTTGTTTTATATAACACATTTGATAAATCCATTATCTTAAGTTCTTAGGAGTTCTTGCTGACTCTTATGGTAGCTTGTTTCTTCATGTATTCTTTTTTAATTTGGAGTGAAAGTTTATGTTCAGCTAGGGCTTATCTGTGGGAATTCTATAAGGCCTAGGTTGAGACTATGTCCCTCCAGGAAGGATCTGCATTGCTTCTGTCAGACGTCCAGAATTGCAACCAACTCGGGATCATAGAATTAACTTCTAAAACCACTTGGTGTAGACTCAAATCCCAGATCCAAAACCCCTAAGAGTAAAGATGTGGAGTTACACATCCATGGAAGCTGCTTTTTTTCTCCACCCAGGGCACAGGCAAAGATAAGTTTTTTTGTTATTTCTCTTTGCTAAAAGTCAGATTTTGTTTCTTTTATTCAATCCATTCTTTTCCTGAGGATGTAGCTTTTTGAGTGTCTTGGTACTATGTGGAGTTCTCAGTTTCAAATCCCTAATTTGCAACCCCTTCACTGCCGCCAAGGCATTATCTACCAGGCACAGATGGCCAGTTAAGCATCCAGGTCATCAAGACTGACAAATATCCTAGGCACAGCAGTGGCTTCAGTATTAGTTTACAACTCCAGTTTCGTTCCATTGTGACCACTGGGAATTTCCTTGGTATTCTTCTGATCTGCTTTAAGTATGTAAAAACGTATTTGTTACATTTAAGCTAGGATTTTGAGGTATTTTACATTTGGTTTATTTTCACTTTTGTTGTTGTTTGTCTGTTGTGATGGTAGCAGAGATTCCATAACAGTTAGTAGCTTAGTGTGTCTTGGGAGCAGGCACAGAGCACTGGTTTTTGCTGTGAAGCTCTAGCAGACCTAGCAAGGAACAGTCTAATATCTAGAATGAAGCTGCCTGGAGCAGAAGTAGCAGCTTTCCTGAGCCACTAGTTCTAGGGTGTTGTTCTCAGAGTCATTCTTGGAAGCCCAGCATAGATCCTGTTCCTCCGGCCCTTTCAGTGATTTTGTAAAAAGCTAATTTCCTTTGACAAAGCTCCTTCTCCTTAAAATAAGAAGAGTGGTTTCTGTTACCTCCAACTAAACCCTGCCTTACACAGACATCAAAAGTCTAAAGACAAAAGAAATGATTAATAAATATGACAGGTTTTAACCAAATTTGTCATGGAATAAATACAAATTACAACAAGATTTTTTTAAAGTTTTTCCATCTGTTATTTTTAGAAGAGATATTTCCACTTATAACATTTGCAAAATTCAAAATATAATAACCAGGCCGGGAGCACTGGTTCACACCTGTAATCCCAGCACTTTGGGAGGCCTAGGTGGACGGATCACCTGAGGTCAGGAGTTCGAGACCAGCCTGACCAACATGGTGAAACCTCATCGCTACTAAAAATACAAAAATTAGCCAGGGGTGGTGGTGGGTGCCTGTAATCCTAGCTACTTGGGAAGCTGAGGCAGGAGAATTGCTTGAACCCCGGAGGCGGAGGTTTCAGTGAGCCAAGATCATGGCATCGCACTCCAGCCTGGGCAACAGGAGCGAAAATCCATCTCAAAAAAATATATATATATATATGTATACACACACACACACACACACACACACACACACATAAAATAACCAGTGATGGTAAAAACTTGAGGAAGCAGAGACACTCTCATCCACTGCTGTCAATAAAATTAGCACAAGCTTTCTCAATAACAAAGTTTTAAATAGGCATACGACCTTTGACCTAGTGATTCTATTCCCAAAAGTTTATTCTAAAGGAATAATCAAGGGTGTGTAGTAAGACTTAATGGTAAGAATGTTCAGTGAATTACTGTCTATAATTTTTTTAATGAAGTTAACTCATGTCTTACTTGTGCCTGCTGGTATAACAAAATATCACAGGCAGGGTACATTATAAATAATATAAATTGGCAGGGCATGATGGCTCACACCTGTAATCCCAGCACTTTGAGAGGCCAAGGCAGGCGGATCACTTGAGGTCAGGAGTTTGAGACCAGCCTGACCAACATGATGAAACTCCATCTCTACTAAAAATACAAAATTAGCCAGGTGTAGTGGCACGTGCCTGTAATCCCAGCTACTCAGGAGGCTGAGGCAGGAGAATCACTTGAACCCATGAGGCAGAGACTGCAGTGAGCCAAGATTGCGCCATTGCACTCCAGCCTGGGCAAAAAGAGCAAAACTCTGTCTCAAAAAAAGAAAAAAGAAAAAATAATAATATAAGTTGACTTCTCATAGTTCTGGTGTCTGGGAAGTCTAAGATCAAGGCACCAGCAGATGCCAAGATGGCACCTTGCTGCTGCGTCCTCACATGGTTGAAGGGACAAAGGCTGTATCTTCATATGGTGTAAAGGGAAAAAGGGCAAAGGGGCCCTTGAGCTTCTTTGATAAGGGCACTAATCCCACTCATGAGAGCAGAGCACTCATGACTTAATCACTTCCCCAAAAGCCCCACCTCTTAAACCTATCCCATTGGGTATTAGCTTTTAGTGTATCAACTTTGGAGGGACACAAACATTCAAACCATAGCCCCTCACATTGAACAGCTGAAGGCTGGTCAAATACAGTATGGCACATGCATAAAATGCAAAATTATGCAGACTTTAAAAAATCTATAGTAGAGAAGGTAGAGCACAATTCATGCCCTTGCTGGAACATCAAATTTTAACAACTGTCTGCTTGCAAAAAAGCACCGTCACAAGAACCAAAAGTCAGGTAAGCGATCACAGTACCTGGTTTTAACCTCATATCGCTAAAAGGGCCATTGAAGAGGCTCAGAGAGACAGTCTTGAATCACTGACGCCACCCCTCTCCCACCCCCGGCAGCAGCCATATGGAACAGAGAGATGATCTGTGCACTTTGGGAAAGGGAGAGCACAGCAACTAGGGGACTTCACACTGAACTCAGTGCTGCCATGTCACAGAAGAGAATAAAGCTGCGCTGGACTCAGCCAGTGCCTGTGCATGGAGGGAACATTTGCACCAGCCCTAGCCAGGGGGGAACTGCCCATCCCAACGGCTGGAACCTGAGTTTCTCGGCAGGCTCCACCACCGTGGGCTGAAGTGCTCTGTGCTCCTAGGTACCACCTAGGCCACAGTGAGGTAGAGCAACAAGCAGGCTCCTGGAGTCTCCAAGTCCAAGCCTAGGCGCTTGGACATTTCTGGACCTGCCCTGGGCCAGAGGGGTACCCACTGCCCTGAAGGGTGAGTCCCAGGCCTGGTAACATTCACCACAAGCTGACAGATGAGTCCTTGGGCTTTAGGTGAACATCAGCGGTTGCCTGGCAGAACCCACTGTGGACCAGTGGTGGTGGTGGCCACATGGAGAGGCTCCTCTCCCTGTGGAAAGGGCAGGGAAACGTGAGAAGGACTTTGTATTGTGGTTTGAGTGCCAGCTTAGCCACAGTAGACTAGAACATCAAGTAAATTGCTAAGGTTTTTTATTGCTATCCCTGGCTCCCAGACAGCATCTCTGGACATGCCCAGGGCCTGGGGGAACTCGCTGCCCTGAAGGGAAGGGTCTTGGGAAGGCCCGGTGCTGTGCTGACTTCAGGTCTGACCCAGTGCAGTCCCAGTGGTGATGGCCACGGGGGTGCTTGCATCACCACACTCCCAATTCCAAGTGGCTCATCACAGAGTGAGAAACCCATGTGTTTGGCAAAAAATAAGGGAAAAGAAGAAGAGTCTCTGCCTGGTAATCCAGAGAATTTTTCTGGATTTTATCCAGGACCACCAAGGTGGGATCTTTCTGAGTCTGCAAAAACAACTACATTATTGGGCTTGGGGCCTAAGTCCCTTCAAATAACTGGGAAGCCTTCCCAAGGAGGATGGGCACAAACAAGCCCAGATTGTGAAGACTACAATAAATACCTAATTCTCCAATGCAGACACCAACGAACATCTGCAAGCATCTGCACCATCCAGGAAAACACAACCTCCCCACATGAACTATGTAAGTCAGCAGGGACCAATCCTGAATAAACAGAGAAATATGACCTTAAAGACAGAATTCAAAATAGCTGTTTTGAGGAAACAAAGAAATTCAAAATAACACAGAGAAGGAATTCAGAATTCTATCAGATAAATTTAACAAAGAGAATGAAATAATTTAAAAGAATCGAGAAATTCTAGAGTTGAAAAATGCAATTGACATGCTGAAGAATGCGTCCGTCTCTTAATAGCAGAATTGATCAAGCAGAAGAATTAGTGAGCTTGAAGACAGGCTATTTGAAAATACACAGTCAGATAACACAGAGACAAAAGAAAACAGAATAAAAGGCCAGTTGCAGTGGCTCCTGCCTGTAATCCCAGCACTTTGGGAGGCCGAGGTGGGCGGATCATGAGGTCAAGAGTTTGAGACTAGCCTGGCCAACATGGTGAAACTCCATCTCTACTAAAAATACAAAAATTAGCCGGGGGCATGGTGGCACATGCCTGTAGTTCCAGCTACTCCGGAGGCTGAGGCAGGGGGATCGCTTGAACCTGGGAGGCGGAGGTTGCAGTGAGCTGAGATCGTGCCACTGCACTCCAGCCTGGGTGACAGAGTGAGACTCTGTCTCAAAAAAAAAAAAAAGAATAAAAACAATGAGGCATGCCTACCAGATCTAGAAAATAGCCTCAAAAGGGCAAATCTGTTATAGGCCTTGAAGAGGAGGTAGAGGAAGAGCTAGTGGTAGAATGTTTATTCAAAGGGATAGTATCAGAGAACTTCCCAAACCTACAGAAAGAACATTCAAATACAAGAAGGTTACAGAACACCAAGCAGATTTAACCAAAAGAAGACTACTTCAAGGTATTTAATAATCTAACTCCCAAAGATCAAGGATAAAGAAAGGATCCTAAAAGAAGCAAGAAAAACAAACAAACAACAACTACAAAAAAAAAAACAGTAACATACAGTGGAGCTCCAGTCTGGCAGCAGACTTTTCAGTGGAAACATTACAGGTCAGGGGAGAATGGCATGACATATTTAAAGTGCTAAAGGAAAAAAAAATTTTTTTTTTTGAGATGGAGTCTCACTGTGTTGCCCAGGCTGGAGTGCAGTGGTGCGATCTCGGCTCACTGCCAGCTCCACCTCCCAGGTTCACGCCATTCTCCTGCCTCAGCCTCCCGAGTAGCTGAGACTACAGACACCCGCCACCACGCCCGGCTAATTTTTTTTTTGTATTTTTTTTTAGTAGAGACGGGGTTTCGCCATGTTAGCCAGGATGGTCTCAATCTCCTGACCTCGTGATCTGCCCACCTCGGCCTCCCAAAGTGCTGGGATTACAGGCATGAGCCACTGCACCTGGCCAGGAAAAATTTTTTATAATAGTATATCCAGTGAAAATATCCTTCGAGCATGAAGGAGAAGTAAAGACATTCACAGACAAACAAAAGCTGAGGGATTACATCAACACCATACTTGTCCTGTAACAAATGCTAAAGGGATTTCTTCAATCAAAAAAGACATTAATGAGCAAAAGGAATCATCTGAAGGTACAAAACTCACTGGGAATAGTAGGCACATAGAAAAACAGAATAATATAACGCTGAAATTGTGATGCATAAACTACTCATCTTAAGTAGAAAGACCAAATGATGAACCAATCAAAAATAACTACAACTTTTCAAGGCATAGACAGTACAATAAGCCATAAAGGAAAATAACAAAAAGTTAAAAAGCAGGGGGATGGCCAGGCATGGGGGCTCACACCTGTAATCCCAGCACTTTGGGAGGCCGAGGCAGGCAGATCTCGATGTCAGGAGGTCGAGACCAGCCTGGACAACACAGTGAAACCCCATCTCTACTAAAAATACAAAAAGTAGCCAGGTATGGTGGCGGGCACCTGTAATCCTAGTTACTCAGGAGGCTGAGGCAGGAGAATCATTTGAACCCAGAAGGCAGAAGTTGCAGCAAGCCAAGATCGCAGCACCGCACACCAGCCTGGGCAACCGTGCAAGACTCTGTCTCAAAAAAAAAAAAAAAAAAAAAGCAGGGGGATGAAGTTAAACTGTAGAGTTTTTCTTTTTTTTTTTTTGAGATGGAGTCTCGCTCTGTCACCCAGGCTGGAATGCAGTGGCATGATCTCGGCTCACTGCAACCTCCACCTCCCAGGTTCAAGCGATTCTCCAGCCTCAGCCTCCTGAGTAGCTGGGATTACAGGCACATGCCACCACACCTGGCTAATTTTTGTATTTTTAGTAGAGACGAAGTTTCACCATGTTGGCCAGGATGGTCTTGAACTCCTGACCTCGTGATCCACCCACCTCAGCCTCCCAAAGTGATGGGATTACAGGCGTGAGCCACCGTGCCCAGCCTAAACTGTAGAGTTTATATTAGTATTTATTTGCATGTTTGTTTATGCAGTAAGTGTTGTCATCAGTTTAAAATAATGGGCTATAAGATAGTATTTGCAAGCCTCATGGTAACTTCAAATCAAAAAACATACAATGGATATACAAAAAGTAAAAAGCAAAAAAATGAAGCACATCACCAGAGAAAATCACCTGCACTAAAAGAAAGACAGGAAGGAAAGAAGGAAGAGAAGATGGCAAAACAACCAGAAAACAAATAACAAAATGGTAGGAGTAAATCCCTACTTATCAATAATAATATTGAATTTTTTTTTTTTTTGAGGCGGTTGGATTACCTGAGGTCAGGAGTTGGAGACCAGCCTGGCCAACATGGCGAAACCCCCATCTCTACTTAAAAAAAATACAAAAAATTAGCCGGGCATGGTGGCAGGTGCCTGTAATCCCAGCTACTCAGGAGGCTGAGGCAGGAGAATCGCTTGAGCCCAGGAGGTGGAGGTTGCAGTGAGCCGAGATCATGCCATTGCACTCCAGCCTGGGTGACAAAAATGAAACTCCATCTCAAATAAATAAATAAATAAATAAGAATAAAAGATATACTCTAGAATATGGTGGAATTATGGCAGATTTTTATTTTTGCTTGTCTGTATTTTCTAAACGCTTTAGAACAATTCTGTATCACTTTTGCAATAAGAAAAATAAAATGTTTTGAGTTTCACAGTACTTAAACTACATGCCCTAGTAAGAAGGGCACAGTACTCAACAGTTCCCAACATACCATGTTCCATCTTCATCTCTGGTCAACCTGCCCTGGTCTTAGGTGATTTCAGGTCAACCCAATTCACAATCATCTATGATGATCTTAGGTAATGGATCACTTTAAGACTGTGCAAAAGACATTATTTTGCTGGGAGTTTATTTCTTCATAACACATAACAAATGACTAAAGAGGTAGCCAAGAAAGAAAACATGCCCGGGCACATACATGAGCAGAGTGTGCTGGATTCTCTGCAGCACTGCACATCAGGCAGGCCCTGGGCACAGAGCTGTGAAGGAGGGAGCGGGACATCAGGCTGTCAGGGCCTCGGCTTTTCATGCTGCTCTTCTCTTTCCACACTAGTTTCCAAGAAAGGCTCTGTAGACTCTTTTTTTTTCAGTCGGAGTCTGGCTCTGCTGCCTAGGCTAGAGTGCAGTGACGTGATCTCAGCTCATTGCGGCCTCCGCCTCCCGGGTTCATGCAATTCTCTGCCTCAGCTTCCCGAGTAGCTGGGATTACAGGCGCCCGCCACCGTGCCCGGCTAATTTTTGTATTTTTAGTAGCGACGGGGTTTCACCATGTTGGCCAGGTTGGTCTTGAACTACTGACCTCGTGATCCACCTGCCTTGGCCTCCCAGAGTGGTTTTTTTTTCTGAGATGGAGTCTTGCTGTGTCACCCAGGCTGGAGTGCAGTGGCTCAATCTCGCCTCACTGCAACCGCCACCTCCCAGGTTCAAGCGATTCTCCTGCCTCAGCCTCCTGAGTAGCTGGGATTACAGGCGCCTGCCACCACGCCTGGCTAATTTGTATAGGCTAGTCACTGCTTCTCTTTCCCTATTCCTGCTTCAGATGGCACATGACTGTCGCCACCATTTAAAAATCATATCAACATTGATTGGACTCCATTCTATACTCAGCTTGGTGCCCAAGGTTGCTGTGACCAAGTGCTACCAAAGAGAAAATTCGAAGTGGCCTGGGATGACCCCAGGAGGCTTCTCTGGGAGAAGTGGGCTTACCAAGCTCTGGATAGAAGCAAGTAGTTGGGACAGGCAGGGAGATGGCTTGCATAAGGGCTCAGAGGCAGGACTATGTTGAAACCATCTGGCTTGGGCAGAGAATCTGAGATGAGACCTCCTCCCCAGAAGCTCAGGATGTATTTATTAGAAGGACGGATAGGATGGTAAAACATGGAAGAGTGAGCTGATTAATTTGGGTGTCGAGTTGAGGAAATGGTCTGAGCAGCCCAGAGATATGCTGAAAATGTACATTAGAAAAATCTATCTGTCTGTACAGGATGGGTAAGGAAGGGTGTGGCGGTGATGAGAAAGCTAGGCCGAAGCCCACTACCCAACAGAGAAAGAACTTAGGGAGGCAGCCGTAGAAACAGACACAGGGAAATAAAAATCACCAGATTTTAGGACCGGGCGCAGTGGCTCACGCCTGTAATCCCAGCACTTTGGGAGGCTGAGGCAGGCAGATCACCTGAGGTCAGGAGATCGAGACCATCCTGGGCAACATGACGAAACCCCATCTCTACTAAAACTATAAAAAGGAGCCAGGCATGGTGGTGGGCGCCTGTAATCACAGCTCCTCGGGAGGCTGAGGCAGGAGAATCACTTGAACTTGGGAGGTGGAAGTTGCAGTGAGCTGGGATCACGCCACTGCACTCCAACCTGGGCAACAGCAAGACTCCGTCAAAAAGAAAAAAAAAAAAACTCACTGGATTTTAGAGCCTAATTGCATGTGAAGGTCCAAATGAGGAAAGGATCACAGATGGTGCTGATGTCTCAACCTGAGGAGATTTGATTCACTTCCCTGCCCCTTCCTGTCCATTCACTCACTGAACACTGAGCGCTTACCATGCAGCAGGCCCCGTGAAAGAGCCAGAGAGAAATAAGATGGGTGAGAGAGAGCACCTGCCCACAAGAAGCCCATTGCTTAGTGCGAGATAAGGTGAAATCAACAGATGGCTATAAAAGGGGAGAATAATGCTAGCCCTAGGCCCAGGGGCTGCAGAGCGTGGAAGAGGGCTCTAATATGTTCTGACAAGCATTGCCATCTACGTTACCACCCCTTCCCCACACCGGCTCCCTCTGCCAAGGCTTTAAAGAGAGGCAAATGACTCTAGAAAATCCCCACAGGGCTGGGGCAGAACTTCCAGGCCCTGTGAGGAGAGCCCTGTAGATGAGGAGGAGCTCCAAGAAGCTTGTCTCCCTCTCATGAGCATGAGGTGTGGGGATGGACCCCAGCAGTACCAGGATGCCACGTATTCCATCAGGTCTCTTTTTAACTTCTTACCTATCTCTCCTCCCACTACTCTGCAGGTAGTGCTGAAATCCTGGATGTTGGAGCTGGAAACGGTAATTCAGTACACACTCCCTTATTTTGCAGAGGAAGAAACTCCCCGGGCAGTGTTCCTCGTTCTTCATACCTCTCCACCTGTTCTGCCAACAAAATTGTGCAGGGTCATTAGAAAGCTAAGTGACAAATACATAATAACGTGTCAATGAAGTCACAGAATGGTGTTACAAGCTGGTAATGACTTAATGTGTTTTTCCTATTAGGGTCGTTTATAGTTCATTACCAAAAGTTTTTTGTTTTGTTTTTGAGATGGGGGTCTTGCTCTTTCACTCAAGCTGGAATGCAGTGACATGATCACAGCTCACTGCAGCCTTGACCTCCTGGGCTCAAGTGATCCTCCCACCTTAGCCTCCTGAGTAGCTAGGACCACAGACACGTGCCACCATGCCTGGCTAATTTTTTTTTTTTTTTTTTTTTTGTAGAGACGGGGGTCTCATCATGTTGCCCAAGCTGCTCTCAAGCTCCTGGGCTCAAGCAATTCTCCTGTCTTGGCCTCCCAAAGTGCTACAATTACAGGCATGAGCTACCACACCTGGCCTCAATAACTTTTTTAAAAAATTTATTTTTATGTATTTAGGGGTGAAATTGCAGGTTTCTTCCATGCATATATTGGGTAGTTTTACTAAAAGTTATTAAAAGCCTTTAACAAAAAACAGATGAAGGAATGTATCTCCCCAGGTGGAGTGTATTAGGTAAGAGAAGGTCTACAATAGTCCAGATCAAAGAGCACTGTTTTTTCAGTAGTCTCACCAAAGAAGTATCTGTTTTTAATACGCGCACAGGCATTTATAGTTTAGGAGCATCTGCCTATCCCTTGCCTACAAAAGACTGCAGCCTACAAAAGACTACACTGACGCCTTTGGAAATGCAGAGATGGCATTCCTAAGGTATGAGGTCAGCAGGACTTGTTTTCTGAGGATGCCGTAAAGAAACTGCAAAACCTCTAGTTGCTCTCAGTGCTTGTTATACATTAATTATAATGCACTAGCATGCTAAAAGACACTCTCACTGGCACCATGACAGTTTACAAATGCCATGGCAAACCCAGAAGTTACTTTATATGGTTTAAAAGGGGAGGAACCAGGCTGGGTGTGGTGGCTCATGCCTGTAATCCCAGCACCTTGGGAGGCCGAGGTGGGCAGATTACTTGAGTCTAGGAGTTCGAGACCAGCCTGGACAATATGGCAAAACCTTGTCTCTACTAAAAATATAAAAATTAATTAGGCATATGCCTGTAGTCCCAGCTACACAGGCGGCTGAGTTGGGAGGATCACTTGAGCCCAGGAGGCAGAGGTTGCAGTGAGCTGAGATCGTGCCACTGCACTCCATCCTGGGTGACAGAGCAAGACCTTGGCACTCTCTCTCCCTTTCTGAGATCTCTCACACACACACAGGAATTACATTGATGTTAATAGGGGAAAAAAAACCTCTTATCCATTAAGAAAAAAAAAAAATTGCGGGGCACAGTGGCTCATACCTGTAATCCCAGCACTTTGGGAGGCCGAGGCAGGCGGATCACCTGAGGTCGGGAGTTTGAGGCCAGCCTGACCAACATGGAGAAACCTCGTCTCTACTAAAAATACAAAATTAGCCGGGCATGGTGGCACATGCCTGTAATCCCAGCTAGTGGGGAGGCTGAGGCAGGAGAATTGCTTGAACCCGGGAGGTGGAGGTTGCGGTGAGCTGGGATAGCGCCATTGCACTCCAGCCTGGGCAACGAGAGTGAAACTCTGTCTCAAAAACAAACAAACAAACAAACAAAAAAACAGGAGGCCAGGCACGGTGGCTCACACCTGTAATCCCAGCACTTTGGGAGGCCGAGGCAGGCAGATCACGAGGTCAGGAGATCGAGACCATCCTGGCCAACATGGTGAAACCCTGTCTCTACTAAAAATACAAAAAAAAAAATTAGCCGGGCATGGTGGCAGGCGCCTGTAGTCCCAGCTATTCGGGAGGCTGAGGAAGGAGAATGGCGTGAACCTGGGAGGCGGAGCTTGCAGTGAGCCGAGATTGCTGCCACTGCACTCCAGCCTGGGCGACAGAGCGAGACTCCATCTCAAAAAATAATAATAATAATAATTAATTCTTAGACCAGCCACAGAACCTAGAAATGAAGAAGGAAGCAATTTTTCCTCCTGTACAAAAGAAAGGTCTAAAGATTGGACAGGAAGAAGTATATTTATTTGTAAATAACGTGACTACAAACTTAGAAAATATAAAATAAACCACAATGAGAATTAATAAATATATTCAGCAAAGTCATAGGCTACAAGGTCAGTACACAAACATCAATAATATTACCATATATCAACAAAAAAAATTTTTTTTGAGACATAGTTTTGCTCTTGTCATCCAGGCTAGAGTGCAATGGCACGATCTTAGCTCACTGCAACCTCCGCCTCCCGAGTTCAAGCGATTCTCCTGCCTCAGCCTCCCAAGTAGCTGGGATTACAGGTGCCCACCACCACGCCCGGCTAATTTTTGTATTTTCAGTAGAGAAGGGGTTTCACCATGTTGGCCAGGCTAGTCTCGAACTCCTGACTTCAGATGATCCACCTGCCTCGGCCTCCCAAAGTACCGGGATTACAGGCATGATCCATAGTGCCTGGCCTCAAAAAATTTTTTAAATGAAAAAAATTTTAATACCACGTATAATATCAAACATATAAATATCTAGGAACAAATTATAATACCTTAAAAAAAAAAAACCTAAGAAAAAAATGTGCCCAATCCCTATGCTAAACATTGCAAAACATTTCTGAGAGAAATGAAAGCCCTAAATGAATAGAGATATTCAAACACAAAGGAGGAAGAATAAAAAGATCTACGTGGTGATAAGGTTTCTACATTCCACTTGACATGACAAAATACTAATTCTAATTAGACTGGGAAATGTTAAGTATGTACATTGTAATCTCTAGAGCAACCACTAAAACATACATACATAACTAAAACTCTAGAGTTCAATTCAGATGGAAAACTAAAAATGTTCAAATAATCTAAACCACGGCAGGAAAGGGATAATAAAGAAATAAAGACTAGAGGAAATAAACCGAAAAGAAATAAAATAAAAATCTGAAAAGGAAATAAAAATCTGAATCCAAACCTATCAATAACTACATTCAACGTAAATGATATAAACCAGGGGTCAGTAAAAGTCCAGGTAGTAAATATTTTTGAACTTGTCAGCCATATGGTCTCTGTTGCAACCACACAACTCTGCTTTTGGAGCAGAAAAGTAGCCACAGAAAATACATAAATGAGCCGGGCATGGTGTCTGTAATCCCAACACTTTGGGAGGCCGAGGCAGGCCGATCACTTGAGGTCAGTAGTCCAAGACCAGCCTGGCCAACATGGTCAAACCCTATCTCTACTAAAAATACAAAAATTAGCCAGGCATGGTGGTGGGCACCTGTAATTCCAGCTACTTAGGAGGCTGAGGCAGGAGAATCACCTGAATCCAGGAGGCGGAGGGTGTAGTGAGCCGAGATCGAGCCACTGCACTCCAGCCTGGGCAACAAAGTGAGACTCCGTCTCAAAAAAGAAAATAGATAAATGAGCATGGCTATGTTTTAATAAAACTTTATTTACAAGACAGGCAGCTGGCCAGATTCGACCCACATAGTTTGCTGACCCTGATCTAAACATACCAAGTGAAAGAGATTTTCAGAGTGAATTAAAAAAAAAAGTACCGAACTATATGCTGTCTACAAAACCAAACAATACACACACAATCCACCTTAAATATAATTATACAGGGAGTTTAAAAATAAAAGGATGGAGGCTGGGCGCGGTGGCTCACGCCTGGTATCCCAGCACTTTGGAAGGCCGAGGCGGGCGTATCACGAGGTCAGGAGATCCAGACCATCCTGGCTAACACGGTGAAACCCCGTCTCTACTAAAAATACAAAAACAAAATTAGCCGGATGTGGCGGCGGGCGCCTGTAGTCCCAGCTACTCGGGAGGCTGAGGCAGGAGAATGGCATGAACCTGGGAGGCGGAAGTTGCAGTGAGCTGAGACCGCGCCACTGCACTCCAGCCTTGGCGACAGAGCGAGACTCCGTCTCAAAATAAATAAATAAATAAATAAATAAATAAATAAATAAAATAGGATGGAAACAGACATGTCATACAAACACTAACCAAGAGAAAGTGGAGTAGCTATGTTAATATCAGACAAAGGAGACTTCAGAGCAAAAGAAATGACCAGTGATAAAGAGAGATGTTATTGTTGAAAGATATTCTCCAAAAGTTCTCACATTTCTAAATGTTTTATGAGCAGAGGCAATGACTGCCTTGGATCTAGAGTATCTTTTCAAGGATATCTATATAGTCAACAGCACTGGAAATAGAAATAGGCCTCTCTCTGGAGCGAAGGGCGGGTTTGTTTTCCATCCAGCATAATAAAGACAACTTCTCCCTTTGGGGAAAAACTCAGGAAGGCTCAGCTCCCTTTTTTTTTTGAGACGGGGTCTTGCTCTGTCACTAGGCTGGAGTACAGTAGTGGCATGATCTCGGGTCACTGCAACCTCCGCCTCCCAGGTTCAAGCGATTCTCCTGCCTCAGCCTCCTGAGTAGCTAGGACTACAGGCATGCGCCACCACACCTGGCTAATTTTTTGTATTTTTTAGTAGAGACGGGGTTTCACCCTGTTGGCCAGGATGATCTTGAACTCCTGACCTCGTAATCCACCCACCTTGGACTCCCAAAGTGCTGGGATTACAGGCGTGAGCCACTGCACCCGGCCCATCTCCCATTCTTAAAGATGTGGATTCCTAACCTCAGAGATCCTCTCCCACGGTCCCACAGTGCATCCTCCGACATGTGCAGGTGCCATCTGGTCCCTTTCACATCATCCTTTTGAAAATGAAGCTCAAGGAGCTGATGCAGACGTGACTACCATGGCCACTGCTCTTGTAGGTGATAAGGTCCTGTGTCATTGTTCCCGCAATCTATGTCTTTTGTTAGCATCTATGAAACTGGCAGACTGACTTATTAGCTTACAAGCAGGGTAAAATGCCACACCCTTCACTGTTCATGCAAATGATAAAAGGGTCACCAAGATGACAAAGCCATCCTAAATGTGTGTGCACTTAACAGAGCTTCAAAACATCTGAAGAAGGCCGGGGACAGTGGCTCACAACTGTAATCCAGCAATTTAGGAGGCCAAGGCAGGAGGATTGCTTGAGCCTAGGAGTTCGAGACCAACCTGGGCAGCATAGTGAGACTCTGTCTCTACAAATAATAAAAAAAATTAGCCAGGCATGGTGGCAGACACCTGTGGTCCCAGCTACTCAGGAAGCTGAGGTAAGAGGATGGCTTGAGCCCCAGAGGTCAGGGCTACAGTGAGTCGTGATCACACCACTGCACTCCAGCCTGAGTGACAGAGCAAAAACTTAAATAAAAATAAAAATAAAAAATCTGAAGACAAACTGATAAAACTGAAATGAGAAATGGATAAATCCACAATTATAAGTGGAGAGCTTAACCCTCCTCTCAGTAATCAATAGAACAGAAAATCAGCAAAGATACAGAACTAAAAATATCATAACCAATTAATCTGATTGATATTTGTAGAATATTTCACCTAATACATGCTTCCTAAATTTGGTATTTACCAAAAGAGACCATAGCCACCATGCCCAGCTAATTTTTGTATTTTAAGTAGAGATGGAATTTCACCATGTTGGCCAGGATGGTCTCGATCTTCTGACCTTGTGATCCACTCGCCTTGGCCTCCCAAAGTGCTAGGATTACAGTTTTGAGTCACCGCGCCCGGCCAATTTTTTTTTTTTTTTTTCTTTTTTGAGACGGAGTTTCACTCTGTCACCCAGTCTGGTGTGCAGTGGCACGATCTCAGCTCACTACAACCTCCGCCTCCCAGGTTCAAGCAATTCTCCTGCCTCAGCCTCCTGACTGGCTGGGACTACAGGTGCGTGCCACTACACCCAGCTATTTTTTGCATTTTTAGTAGAGACAGGGTTTTGCCACGTTGACCAGGCTGGTCTCGAACTCCAGACCTCAGGTGATCTGACCGCCTCAGCCTCCCAAACTGCTGGGATTATAGGCATGAGCCACTGCACCCACCTGTCAGGCCTCTGAGCCCAAGCTAAGCCATCATATCCCCTGCCACCTGCACGTATACATCCAGATGGCCTGAAGCAACTGAAGATCCACAAAAGAGGTGAAAATAGCCTTAACTGATGACATTCCAAAATTGTGATTTGTTTCTGCCCCACCCTAACTGATCAATGTACTTTGTAATCTCCCCCACCCTTAAGAAGGTTCTTTATAATCTCCCCGACCCTTAAGAAGGTTCTTTGTAATTCTCCCCACCCTTGAGAATGTTCTTTGTGAGATCCACCCCCTGCCCACAAAACATTGCTCCTAACTCCACCGCCCATCCCAAAACCTCTAAGAACCAATGATAATCCCACCGCCCTTTGCAGACTCTCTTTTCAGACTCAGCCCGCCTGCACCCAGGTGAAATAAACAGCCTTGTTGCTCACACAAAGCCTGTTTGGTGGTCTCTTCACACGAATGCGTGAGACATTTGGTGCCAAAGACCTGGGTCAGAGGGACTCCTTCAGGAGACCAGTCCCTTGTCCTCACCTTCACTCCGTGAAGAGATCCACCTATGACCTCAGGTCCTCAGACCAACCAGCCCAAGGAACATCTCACCAATTTCAAATTGGGTAAGCGGTCTTTTCACTCTCTTCTCCAGCCTCTCTCACTACGCTTCAATCCCCCTGTCCTTCCAATTCCAGTTCTTTTTCTCCTCTAGTAGAGACAAAGGAGACACATTTTATCGGTGGACCGAAAACTCTGGTGCCAGTCACGGACTTGGGAAGACAGCCTTCCCTTGGTGTTTAATCATTGTGGGGACGCCTGCCTGATTATTCACCCACATTCCACTGGTGTCTGATCACTGCAGGGATGCCTGCCTTGGTCATTCACCCACATTCCCTTGGTGGCAAGTCAACTGAAGGGATGCCTGCTTTGGCTGCTCACCCACATTGCAGCCCAGGGCTGCTCCCCACCCCGCTTCTCCGTGTCTCTACCCTTCCCACCCTTCTCTCTCTTTTTTTTTTTTTTTTGAGACGCAGTCTCACTCTGTGGCCCAGGCTGGAGTGCAGTGGCTCCATCTCAGCTCACTGCAAGCTCCGCCTCCCGGGTTCACGCCATTCTCCTGCCTCAGCCTCCCGAGTAGCTGGGACTACAGGCACCCACCACCATGCCTGACTAATTTTTATTTTGTATTTTTAGTAGAGATGGGGTTTCACTGTGTTAGCCAGGATGGTCTCAATCTCCTGACCTCAGGATCCGCCTGCCTCAGCCTCCCAAAGTGCTGGGACTACAGGTGTGAGCCACCGCGCCCGGCCTCTACACTTCTCTTTAAACTTGCCTCCTTCACTATGGGCAACCTTCCACCCTCCATTCCTCCTTCTTCTCCCTTAGCCTGTGTTTTCAAGAACTTAAAACCTCTTCAACTCTCACCTGACCTAAAATCTAAGCGTCCTATTTTCTTCTGCAATACCGCTTGGCCCCAATACAAACTCGATAATGGTTCTAAATGGCCAGAAAATGGCACTTTTGATTTCTCCATCCGAGACCTAATTTTTGTCGAAAAATGGGCAAATGATCTGAGGTGCCTTACATCCAGGCATTTCTCACGCTTCGTTCCCTCTCTAGTGTCTGTTTCCAGTGCGACTAGTCCCAAATCCTCCTTCTTTCCCTCCCGCCTATCCCTTAAGTCTCAACCCCAAGCATCACTGAGTCTTGTGAATCTTTCTTTTCTACTGAGCCATCTGACCCCTCACCTCCTCCCCAGACTGCTCCTCCTCAGCTCGCTCCCCGCCAGGCTAATCAGCCTCCAACTCTTCTTCAGCCTCTGCTCCCCCACCCTATAACCCTTCTATTACCTCCCTCCCCACACCCGGTCTAGTTTACGGTTTCGTTCTGTGACCAGCTCTCCCCCACCTGCCCAACAATTTCCTCTTAGAGACGTGGCTGGAGCTGAAGGCATAGTCAGGGTACATATGCCTTTTTCTCTATCGGACCTTTCCCAAATCAGCCAGCGTTTAGGCTCTTTCTCATCAGACCCCACTAAATGTGCACAGGAATTCCGATATCTAACTCTGTCCTACAAGTTAACCTGGAGTGACTGAAGTGTCATCCTAATTTCTACCCCTCCCCAGATGAACGGGAAAGTTTTTCTCTAGCCCAGTCTCGTGCTGATAACCGCCGGCTTCATGAGCCAGACCTCCTGGAAGGCATTAGAGCAGTTCCCCGAGAGGATCCCCAGTGGAACTATCAGGCAGATTCCCCAGGTACAGCTGGGCAAGATTACATGGTTTCCTGCCTAGTTGAAGGGCTTAAAAAGGCAGCTTACAAAGCTGGTAATTATGACGAACTTAAGGAAACTACCCGAGGTAAAGACGAAAACCCAGCCCAGGTCATGGCCCGCTTGGCAGCTACCCTTAGACGCTTTACCGCCCTAGACCCACAGGGGCCAGAAGGCCGCCTTATTCTCAATATACGTTTTATCACCCAGTCAGCTCCTGACATGAGAAAAAAGCTTCAAAAATTGGAACCCGGCCCTCAAATCCCACAACAGGAATTAATCAACCTCGCCTTCAAGGTGCACAATAATAGAGAGGAGGTAGCCAGACAGCAACACATTTCTGAGTTACAGCTACTTGACTCCTCTGGAAGACAACCCACAACCACGTCTCCAGCATACAAGAACTTCAGGACATCCAAGCCACAGCTCCCAGGGGTTCTTCAAAACATCCTCGTGGACCTTGCTTCAAATGCCAAAAGCCTGGCCACTGGGCCTCAGAATGCCCACAGCCTGGGATTCCTCCTAAGCCATGCCCTGTCTGTGCGGGCCCCCACTGGAGGTCGGACTGTCCGACTCACATCACTGCCACTCCTAAAGCCCCTGGAGCCCAAACCCAATGTTCCTTGGCCGACTCCTTCCCAGATCTCCTCGGCTTAGCAGCTGAAGACTGACGCTGCCCAATCGCCTCAGAAGCCCCCTGGACCATCCCAGACGCCAAGCCTCGGTAACACTTACAGAAGAGAGTACGTCCGTCCCCTGTTTAATCAATATGGGGGCTACCCACTCCACATTATCTTCTTTTCAAGGGCCTGTTTCCCTTGCCCCCATAACTGTTGTGGGTATTGCCGGCGAAGCTTCAAAACCTCTTAAAATTCCCCCACTCTGGTGCCAACTTGGACAACATTCTTTTATGCACTCTTTTTTCAGTTATCCCCACCTGCCCAGTTCCCTTATTAGGCCAAGACATTTTAACCAAATTATCTGCTTCCCTGATTATTCCTGGACTACAGCCACATCTCATTGCCACCCTTCTTCCCAACCCAAAGCCTCCTTCATGTCTTCCTCTCGTATCCCCCAACCTTAACCCACAAGTATGGGATACCTCCACTCCCTCCCTGGCAACTGATCACACGCCCATTACTATCCCATTAAAACCTAATCACCCTTACCCCACTCAATGCCAGTATCCCATCCCACAGCAGGCTTTAAGGGGATTAAACCTGTTATCACTCGCCTGCTACAGCATGGGCTTCTACAACCTATAAGCTCTCTTTACAATTCTCCCATTTTACCTGTTCAAAAACCAGACAAGTCTTACAGGTTAGTTCAGGATCTGCGCCTTATCAATGAAATTGCCTTGCCTATCCACCCCATGGTGCCAAACCCATATACTCTCCTATCCTCAGTACCTCCCTCCACAACACCTTCTGTTCTAGATAAACCTGGCTGACCCCATAAATCCTAAATCCTTTCCCCACTCCCCTTTCCATTCCTTAAAAAACAGCCCTAAAAGCTGCTCCCGCACTAGCTCTCCCTAACTCATCCCAACCCTTTCATTACACACAGCCAAAGTACAGGGCTGTGTGGCCAGAATTCTTACACAAGAGCCGGGACCCGCCCTGTAGCCTTTTTGCCCAAACAACTTGATCTTATTGTTTTAGGCTGGCCATCATGTCTCCGTGCAGCGGCCGCCGCCACCCTAATACTTTTAGAGGCCCTCAAAATCACAAACTATGCTCAACTCACTCTCTACAGTTCTCATAACTTCCAAAATCTATTTTCTTCCTCACACCTGACACGTATACTTTCTGCTCCCCGGCTCCTTCAGCTGTACTCACTCTTTGTCGAGTCTCCCACAGTTACCATTGTTCCTAGCCCAGACTTCAATCCGGCCTCCCATGTTATTCCTGATACCACACCTGACCCCCATGACTATATCTCTCTGATCCACCTGACATTCACCCCATTTCCCCATATTTCCTTCTTTCCTGTTCCTCACCCTGATCACATTTGGTTTATTAATGGCAGTTCCACCAGGCCTAATTGCCACTCACCAGCAAAGGCAGGCTATGCTATAGTATCTTCCACATCTATCGTTGAGGCTACCGCTCTGCCCCTCCACTATCTCTCAGCAAGCCGAACTCATTGCCTTAACTTGAGCCCTCACTCTTGCAAAGGAATTACGTGACAATATTTATACTGACTCTAAATATGCCTTCCAGATCCTGCACCACCATGCTGTTATACAGGCTGAAAGAGGTTTCTTTACTACGCAAGGGTCTTCCATCATTAATGCCTCTTTAATAAAAACTCTTCTCAAGGCCACTTTACTTCCAAAGGAAACTGGAGTCATACACTGCAAGGGCCATCAAAAGGCATCAGATCCCATTGCTCAGGGCAATGCTTATGCTGATAAGGCAGCTAAAGAAGCAGCTAGCATTCCAATTTCTGTCCCTCATGGCCAGTTTTTCTCCTTCTCATTGGTCACTCCTATTTACTCTCCTACTGAAGTTTCCACCTATCAATCTCTTCCCACACAAGGCGAATGGTTCTTCGACCAAGAAAAATATCTCCTTCCAGCCTCACAGGCCCATTCTATTCTGTCGTCATTTCATAACCTCTTCCATGTAGGTTACAAGCCACTAGCCTGCCTCTTAGAACCTCTCATTTCCTTTCCATCGTGGAAATCTATCCTCAAGGAAATCACTTCTCAGTGTTCCATCTGCTACTCAACTACCCCTCAGGGGTTGTTCAGACCCCTCCCTTCCCTACACATCAAGCTCGAGGATTTGCCCTGCCCAGGACTGGCAAATTGACTTTACTCACATGCCCCAAGTCAGGAAACTAAAATACCTCTTGGTCTGGGTAGACACTTTCACTGGATGGGTAGAGGCCTTTCCCACAGGATCTGAGAGGCCACCGCGGTCATTTCTTCCCTTTTGTCAGACATAATTCCTCGGTTTGGCCTTCCCACCTCTATACAGTTCGATAACGGACCGGCCTTTATTAGTCAAATCACCCAAGCAGTTTCTCAGGCTCTTGGTATTCAGTGGAACCTTCATACCCCTTACCATCCCCAATCTTCAGGAAAGGTAGAACAGACTAATGGTCTTTTAAAGACATGCCTCACTAAGCTTAGCCTCCAACTTAAAAAGGACTGTACAGTACTTTTATCTCTTGCCCTTCTCAGAATTAGAGCCTGTCCTCAAGATGCTACAGGGTACAGTCCATTTGAACTTTTATATGGACGCACTTTCTTACTCGGCCCCAACCTCGTCCCAGACACCAGCCCTCTAGGTGACTATCTTCCAGTCCTCCAACAGGCTAGACAGGAAATTCACCAGGCTGCTAATCTTCTCTTGCCTACTCCAGATTCCCAGCCATATGAAGACACCCTAGCTGGATGATCAGTTCTTGTTAAGAATCTGACCCCTCAAACTCTACAACCTCGATGGACTGGACCCTACTTAGTCATCTATAGTACCCCAACCACGATCCGCCTGCAGGACCCTCCCCATTGGGTTCACCATTCCAGAATAAAGCTGTGTCCGTCAGCCAGACAGCCTGATATATCCTCTTCCTCCTGGAAGTCGCAAGTACTCTCCCCTACTTCCCTTAAACTCACTCACATTTCTGAAGAACAATAATAACCCTTATGAGCCTAATACATCCCTTCATTCTATTAGGCCTATCCATCCTTACCCTACCCTTTGCAACAGAGCTTTGTGCAGTCACCCCCACTATTTGGACTGTGCCCCAAAAACTTGTCATCCCTACTGTATTCTCAACTACTCATAAATGACCTGCTCTTGTTTACACTGCCGGTTTACACTGTTTCTCCAAGCCATCACAGCTGTTATCTCCTGGTGCTATCCCCAAACCACCACTCTTGACTCCCTCTTGGAGCAGGTAGATGATCTTTGGTGGCAGGGCACACTCCAATACTTCCACCCTGATGAAGTTCTATTCTTTGCTTTTATACTCCCTCTTATTCTCATTCCCATTCTTATGCCACTCTCTACCCCTCCCTAGTTACCTCCAGCATCTCCAGCACACTATCAATCTCACCCACTCTCTTCTCACTGCCTTCAATCCTCCAATCCTCCTCTAGCAAAGAATTGTTGGCTATGCATTTCCCTTTCTTCCTGCTTTTTTTTTTTTTTTTTTGAAGCGGAGTCTCGCTCTGTCGCCCAGGCTGGAGTGCAGTGGCAGCAATCTTGGCTCACTGCAAGCTCCGCCTCCCAGGTTCATGCCATTCTCCTGCCTCAGCCTCCCAAGTAGCTGGGACTGCAGGTGCCTGCTACCACGCCCGGCCAATTTTTTGTATTTTTAGTAGAGATGGGGTTTCACCGTGTTAGCCAGGATGGTCTCGATCTCCTGACCTCATGATCCACCCGCCTCAGCCTCCCAAAGTGCTGGGATTCCAGGCGTGAGCTACCGCGCCCGGCCTCTTCCTGCTTTTACACAGCCATCCCCGCTCTACAGGCCAACTTGGCTACCTGTTCCATCTCCCTGCACCTCAGAACCTCCTTTAATAGCCCTCATCTATACCTGCCTGAGGAAATTCTTTACTTTCTAGACAGATTTGGTGAGAACTCCCCAGACATTTCACACCAACAAGCTGCCACACTTCTCCGCATCTACTTACGGCACCTTTCTCCTTATGTCAATTCCACCCCCACCCCATATTTGGACCCCTGACCACACAAACAACCATCCCTGTTGCCACTCCTTTATGCTTCTCCCGACAACAGCCTGCTGGAATCCCTTTAGGCAACCTTCTTCTGTCCAAATGTTCCTTTACTCTTTATCTCCAGAACCCAGCCACACACATAACCAAACAGATGGGAGCATTCCAACTTCACATTACTGATAAGCCCATTACTGACAAACTAAAACACATTGGCAGTCACTATTGTTTAGGAAGACACATACCCTGCATCTCACTCCATCCTGGGCTACCCTCCCCCTGCTCGTCTGAATCTCCTCCTAGCCCCTCCTCTTGCTTGCTTATACCCAGCCCCATGAATAGCAGTGAAAGGTTACTTGTAGACACTATGCGCTTTCTCATACACCATGAGAACCGAACCCCTCCCTTTACGCAGTCGCACCATCAACCCCCATTACAACCTCTAACGGCTGCTGCCCTTGCTGGATCTCTAGGATTTGGGGTGCAGGATTCCTCTTTCAGTACACCCTCTCACCTTTTCACTTTACATTTCCAGTTCTGCCTGACACAAGGTCTCTTCTTTTTATGTGGCTCTTCCACCTACATGTGCCTACCTCCCAACTGGACAGGCACATGCACTCTAGTCTTCCTTACCCCCAAAATCCAGTTTGCAGATGGGAACAAACTACTGCCTGTCCCCCTCATGACATCAACACGACAAGAAAGAGTCATCCCACTAATCCCTTTGCTTGTGGGTCTAGGACTTTCTGCCTCCACTATTGCACTTGGAACTGGAATAGCAGGCATCTCAACCACTGCCACAACATTCCACAGCCTCTCTAATGACTTCTCTGCTAGCATTACAGATATATCACAAACTTCATCTGTTCTCCAAGCACAGATTGACTCTTTTAGCTGTAGTTGTCCTCAGAACCTCCAAGGCCTCTATTTACTCACTGCTGAAAAAGGAGGACTCTGTATATTTTTAAATGAAGAGTGTTGTTTTTACCTAAATCAGTCTGGCCTGGTATATGACAACATAAAAAAAAACTCAAGGATACAGCCCAAAAACTCGCCAACCAAGCAAATAATTACACTGAACCCTCTTGGACACTCTGTAATTGGATGTCCTGGGTACTCCCAATTCTTAGTCCTTTAATACCTGTTTTTCACCTTCTTTTATTTGGACCTTGTGTCTTTCGTTTAGCTTCTCATTTCATACAAAACCACATCCAGGCCATCACCAATAATTCTATACGACAAATGCTCCTTTTAACAACCCCACAATATCACCCCTTACCCCAAAATCTTTCTTCAGTTGAATCTCTCCCATAGTAGGTTCCCACGCCACCCCTAATCCCACTCGAAGCAGCCCTGAGAAACATCGCCCATTATCTCTCCATACCACCCCCAAAAATTTTCACCGCCTCAACACTTCACTATTTTGTTTTGCTTTTCTTATTAATAAAAGAAGACAGGAATGTCAGGCCCCTGAGCCCAAGCTAAGCCATCATATCCCTTGTGACCTGCATATGTACATCCAGATGGCCTGAAGCAACTGAAGATCCACAAAAGAGGTGAAAATAGCCTTAACTGATGACATTCCACCATTGTGATTTGTTTCTGCCCCACCCTAACTGATCAATGTACTTTGTAATCTCCCCCACCCTTAAGAAGGTTCTTTGTAATTCTCCCCACCCTTGAGAATGTACTTTGTGAAATCCACCCCTGCCCGCAAAACATTGCTCCTAACTCCACCACCTATCCCAAAACCTATAAGAACCAATGATAATCCCACCACCCTTTGCTAACTCTCTTTTCGGACTCAGCCCACCTGCACCCAGGTGAAATAAACAGCCTTGTTGCTTACACAAAGCCTGTTTGGTGGTCTCTTCACACGCACACAGACGTGTGAGACGCGATCCTCCCTTGATACATTGAAAAGATGCATTGAAATTAAACAAAATATGATTTTGTATTTTGAAAATACAAACTGAAATCATACAAAATATGTTTGTATGACTGAACTGAAATCACACAAATACTGAATTGAAGTCATAGAGAATATGAACTGAAATCATACAAAATATGTTCTGGCTGGGCGCGGTGGCTCACGCCTGTAATCCCAGCACTTTGGGAGGCTGAGGCGGGCAGATCACAAGGTCAGGAGATCGAGACCATCCTGGCTAACATGGTGAAACCCCGTCTCTACTAAAAATACAAAAAATTAGCCGGGCATGGTGGCAGGCGCCTGTAGTCCCAGCTACTCGGGAGGCTGAGGCAGAAGAATGGCATGAACCTGGGAGGCAGAGCTTGCAGTGAGCCGAGATTGTGCCACTGCACTCCAGGCTGGGTGACAGAGCGAGACTCCGTCTCAAAAAAAAAAAAAAAAAAAAAAGTTCTACAATCACAGTGGAGATTGAAACCACCTTTGCAAAATTATGACCGAGACAGTGAAAGAGATCTAATTTAACCGACTCCATCTTGCTTCTAACCTCCAAGTTGTCCTTGTTCATTCCTGGGCATAGGCCAAACCAACTTTTGGAGAAGTTTAGTTTATAGTTTAAAACAAAGACTATAACAGCCCTTTCCCAAAGCAGACCTCCTTCTTGCCTGGGGACTAGACTGCCTTTGTAGGACTAACATTAGCCACAGGATTAGAAATTATGGTTTAGGAGTCATGTGGCTGGAGGCTACAAGATTCTGACCCTCCCTAAACAGCTCCTAAGATCAGTGCTTGAGATATTTGCAGACCCTGCACTTGATGGATCAGCTGACACCACCCAGATGGATTAACTGGCTCATCTGATCTTGTGGTTCCCACCAAGGAACTGACTCAGAGCAAGAAGACAGCTTTGACTCCCTGTGATTTTACCCCTGACCAATCAGCACCCCCGGCTCACTGGCTTCCCCCATCCACCAAGCTGTCCTTAGAAACTCTGCTCCCAGAATGCTGGGGGAGACTGATTTGAGTAACAATAAAACTCTGGTGTACCGCACAGTCGGCTCTGCATGAATTACTCATTCTCTATTGCAATTCCCCTGTCTTGATCAATCGGCTCTGTCTAGGCAGCAGGCAATGTGAACCCCTTGGGCGGTTACAAAATCAAAATCATAAGAGAAAGATAACTAGCTAATATTTAAACGTAAACAACAGAACTTCTGGTTAAGCTGTCCTGAGGGCCTAGTCTTAGAGGGGCCCCACACTTTCATGGGCTTTATTTCCAGGAGCCTCACCAGGGTTTCAGGCAGGGGAAAAGGAAAAGTAACCATTTAAAAATACATCCAGGGGGAAAGTAAACATTTTGAAAAACACTCAGTTCTCTATAACAAAGGCCTGCCTTCTAAGGGAAACTATTTTACCTGAGTCTTATCTCATTTGGAGGAATGGCAATTAACCAACTCCAGCCCCTCTAGCCTTCCTGTATCAGGTAAAGAAAGAGAAAAAAAAGGCTAAGAACAGCTTCTGAAGGTCACAGTCCACCTTTAGAGGTTTCAGAGCCATTAAAAAGCTGAGATTTAATCAGATGGTTAGAGAGCACCTCCTCTCCCTCAAATTATCACATCAACAGGGTTCCTGCGTAACAACAGGAAACAGGATTGCAACTGAGAGAGGTGTAAAGCACAGACTCCATTGAAGAAGGAGGTTTTAGGGTAACCCAAAGACAAGAAAAAGGAAACTAGGCCTGGCGCGGTGGCTCACGCCTGTAATCCCAGCACTTTGGAAGGCCAAGGCGGGCAGATCATGAGGTCAGGAGTTAGAAACCATCCTGGCTAACATGGTGAAACCCCGTCTCTACTGAAAATACAAAAAATTAGCAGGGCGTGGTGGCGAGCGCCTGTAGTCCCAGCTACTTGGGAGGCTGAGACAGGAGAATGGCGTGAACCCAGGAGGCGGAGCTTGCAGTGAGCCAAGATCGCGCCACTGCACTCTAGCCTGGGTGACAGAGCGAGACTCTGTCTCAAAAAAAAGAAAAAGGAAAGTAGAGGAAGCATCTGGCACTACAGGTACAGCAAACGTTAAACACAGGTCTGCTCCTGGCCAAATTAACGTAAATCCTCACATTGAAAGCCTAATCATCTCAGTTCCTATTGCCTGATACATCATGTCTGACTTTGAACAAAAAATTACAAGGATGCTAACATACAAGAAAAACAGTCTGAAGAACAAACTATGCATTAGACTCTGACTTAGATGTGGCACAAACTTTGGAATTATCAGGTAGGGAATTTAAAATAATGAGGATATAAGGGAAAAGGCAGATGACATGCAAGAATAGAAGGGAAATAATGAGAAAGATGGAAACTAAAAGAATGAATCAAAAGAAAATCCTAGAAATTAAAAACATTGTGAGAGAAATGAAAAATGCCTTTATGGTATCATCAGTAGGTTATATGTGCCTGAAGAAAGATTCAGTGGGCTGTGAGATACGTCAACAGAAACTTCCCAAACTGAAACATGAGAAAAACAAAAAAGAGAATGAAAGTGTTCAAACAGGGCCAGGGGCCATGGCTCACACCTATAATCCCAGCACTTTGGGAGGCTGAGGCAGGCAGATCAACTGAGTTCAGGAGTTCGAGACCAGTTTGGCCAACATGGTGAAACCCCATGTCTACTAAAGATACAAAAATTAGCCGGGCGTGGTGGCAGGCACCTGTAATCCCAGCTACCCAGGAGGCTGAGGCAGGAGAATCGCTTGAACCTGGCAGGCGGAGGTTGCAGTGAGCCAGTGAGCTGAGATCGCACCACTGCACTCCAGCCTGGGCGACAGAGCGGGAATCTGTCTCAAAAATTAAAAAAAGAAAGAAAGAAAAAGGAAGGAAGGAGGGAGGGAGGGAGGAAGGGAGAGAGGGAGCGAGAGAAGGAAGGAAGGAAGGAAATGCTCAAACAGAGTTATCACTTACTGTGGGACAATTATAAAAGGTCTAATATGCATTTAATGGGAATAGCAGAAGAAGAAAGAGAAATAAGCAAAAGAAATATTCAAAGTAATAATCACTAGGAATTTTCCAAAATTAATGACAGACATCTAAACATGGCTCCAGGAAGATCAGAGAACACCAAGCAGGATAAACACCAAAAAATCTCTAGCTAGGCACATCACATTCAAACTGCAGAAAACCAAAGACTAAGAGGATATCTAGAAAGAAAGCAGAATAAAAATACCTTGTTTGTGCAGAAGAGAGATAAGAATTATATTAGACTTCTCATCAGAAACAATGTAAGCAAGATGACAGTGGAATGAAATATTTTGAAAAGAAAAAAGCAAAAACTCACCAACCTAGAATTCTGTATCCAGTGAAATTATCCTTCAAAAAAAGGGGAAATAAAGACTTTCTCAGATAAACAAAAACTGGGGGAATTTGTTGCCAGGAGACTGCCTTACAAGGTATGCTAAGGTACGTTTTTCGAAAAAAGGGAAACTATATAGGTCAGAAACTCAGATCTACATAAAGAAAGGAAAATTTACATCAAAGGAAGAAAAAAATGGCCAGGCATGGTGGCTCATGCCTGTAGTCCCAGCGCTTTGGGAGGCTGAGGCAGGTGGATCACCTGAGGTCAGGCGTTCGAGACCAGCTTGGCCAGCATAGTGAAATCCCATCTGTACTAAAAATACAAACATTACCCAGGCCTGATGGCGCATGCCTATAGTCCCAGCTACTCAGGAGGCTAAGGCAGCAGAATCGCTTGAGCATGGGAGACGGAGGTTGCAGTGAGCCAAGATCATGCCACTGCACTCCAGCCTGGGTGGCAGAGCAAGACTCTTGTTAAAAAAAAAAAAAAAAAAAAAAAAAAAAGGACCAGGAGCAGTGGCTCATGCCCGTAATCCCAACATTTTGGGAGACCAGGGCAGGAGGATCACTTGAGGTCAGGAGTTCAAGACCAGCCTGGCCAACATGGTGAAACCCCGTCTCTACTAAAAATACAAAAATTAGCAAGGTGTGATGGTGGGTGCCTGTAATCCCAGCTACTTGGGAGGCTGAGGCAGAGGAACTGCTTGAACCTGGGAGGCAGAGGTTGCAGTGAGCCGAGATCACATCATTTGTACTCCAGCCTGGGTGCACAGACAGAGCAAGACTCCATCTTAAAATATACATATAAAAAAAAAGGCCAGGCGTGGTGGCTCACGCCTGTAATCCCAGCACTTTGGGAGGCTGAGGCGGGCGGATCACGAGGTCAAGAGATTGAGACCATTCTGGCCAACATGGTGAAACCCCGTCTCTACTAAAAGTACAAAAATTAGCCAGGTGTGGTAGCCTGTAGTCCCAGCTGCTCAGGAGGCTGAAGCAGGAGAACTGCTTGAACCCGGGAGGTGGAGGTTGCAGTGAGCCAAGATCGTGCCACTGCACTCTACCCTGGAGACAGAGCGAGACTCCATCTCAAAAAAAAAAAAAAAAAATCCAGGGAGAAATAGACAAATCAAATATTATGGTTGGAGACTTCAACACTCCTCTGTCAGTAACTGACAGATTCAGTAGGCAGTCCAGATATAGTTAAACCAAACAGCATCAATCAATCAACTGGATCGAACTGACATCTGTAGACTACTTCATCCATCAACATCAGAATACACACTCTTCCCAAGATCACGTGGAACATTCACCAACCTAGATCATATCCTAGCCAGAAAACATACCTCAACAAATTTAAAAGAACAGAAATAATACAAAGTTGCTGTTAGACAACAGTGGAATTAAAACTAAAAAGTGAAAAATTAAAACTACATAAATAATTTTTGAAAGGTAGTAACAGAGAGCTAAAAATGCTGAAAATATTTAGAGAATAAACAGCGTATTTCTAAATAACACCTGTGTAAAATAAAAAGTCTCAAGAGAAATTTTTAATTGTTTTGAACCAAATAAAAATGAAAATACAACTTACCAAATCTTGTGGGATATAGTAAAAGCAATGCTTCGATGGACATTTTTAGCACTTAATGCATATATTAGAAAAGAAGAGGCCAGGCGCGGTGGCTCATGCCTATAATCCCAGCACTTTGGGAGGCCAAGGCGGGTGGATCATGAGGTCAGGAGTTAGAGACCAGCCTGGCCAACATGGCAAAACCCCGTCTCTACTAAAAATAAAAAATTAGCCAGGAGTGGTGGCAGGCACCTGTAATCCCAGCTGCTTAGGAGGCTGAGGCAGGAGAATCACTTGAACCTGGGAGGTGGAGGTTGCAGTGAGCCAAGATTGTGCCATTGCACTCCAGTCTGAGCGACAAGAGCAAGGCTCTGTCTCAAAAAAAAGAAGAAAGATTTAGTATCAATAATCCAAGCTTCCACCTTAGAAAACTATAAAAAGAAAAGAATATAAGCCTAAAGCAAGCAGAATAAGAGGAAAATAATAATAAAAATTAGAACAGAAATCATTGGAATTGAAAATAGGAAATTAATTTTAAAAAATCAAAACCAATAATTAGGAATGAAGGATAGGCTATCACTGAGCACCCCACAGACTCTAAAAGGGTAATAAATTACACAAACAACTGTGCACACATAAATTTGACAACTTACATAAAGTGGATCAATTCTTTGATGGCCACGAGCTACCAAAACTCATCCAAGAATAAATTAAAAACCTAAATAAATCCTTTATCTATTAAAAAAATTGAATTTCTAGTTGAAAATCTTCCTTAACAGAAATCTGCAGCCCCAAATGGTTTCATCAGCAAATAGTACCAAAGATTTTAGAAAGATATAACATGAGCTCTACATAGTTTCTTCCAGAAAACAGAAGTGGAAGGAATGCTTCCTAACTCATTTTATGAGATGAGCATCATCATGATACTAAAACCAGATAAAGAAAATACAAAAAAAAAAAAAAAGATCCTCATGAATCAATATCCCTCATCAACACAGATGCAAAATACTAACAAATTGAAACAGTAATACATAAAAAAAAATTACACACCATGATCCGGGGTTTATTCCCGAGATGCAATATTTGAAAATCAATGAAAATGTAATCTGCAACAAGACCACATCAACCGACAATATTCAACATCAATTCACGGTACAAGCAGTCGGCAAATGAGGAATCGAACAGAGCTCTCTAAACCGATAAAGCACACCTACAAAAAAGCCTATAACTAAACACACTGTGAAAGACGTAATGCTTCTTTCCCTCTAAGATCAGGAACAAGGCAAGGAACTCCACCTCACCCCTCCTACTCAACATTGCACGGGAAGACCTATCTTGTCAAACAGGGAAATAAAATTTAATGAAAGTCATACAGATTGGAAAGGAGAAAACGCAACTGTCCCTAGTACCTATTCACAAACATGATTGCCTGTGTAAAAAATCTCATGGATTCCATAAAAACCTTCTAAAACCAATGTCAGTTTAGTGAGATTGCAGGATACAAGGTTAACACATGAAAACCAACTATATTTCTTTATAATAGTAATGAATATCCGGAAACCAAATTTTTTAAATCACAGTGGCTTTGAAAAATAGTCTGCATAAATCTAACAAACCACGTAAAGGATCTATATATGAACACCACAAAATGCTGATGAAAGAAATAAAACAATCTAAATAAATGTAAAGACATACTATATTCACAGACTGGAAGACTCAATACAGTTGTCAATTCTCCTCCAATTGATCTATAGATTTAACACAAATACAACCAAAATCCCCCACGTGGTGGGGCACAGTGGCTCACCTGTAATCCCAGCATTTCAGGGACTGAGACAGGAGGATCACTCGAGGCCAGGAATTTTGAGACCAGTATGGGCAACATAGCGAGACCTCCGTCTCTACCAAAAAAAAAAAAAATTTTTTTTTAATTAGCCAGGTGTGGTGATGCACACCTGTGATCCTAGCTACTCAGGAGGCTGAGGCAGAAAGATCCCCTGAGCCCAGGAGTTTGAGGTTACAGTGAGCTATGATGGCACCACTGCACTCCATCGGGGCTACAGACTGAGACTCTGTCTGAAAAACAAAACAAAACAAACAAAAAAAGAACAAAATTCCCAGCAGGATTGTTAAAACATATAGACAAGCCTAAAATACATATGGAAAGTCAAATGAAGTAAAATACCCAAGTAATCAGGAAAAAGAACAAAGTTGGAGGGCGCTAAGACTTACTTTAAAGCTACAGCAATCAAGACAGTGTCGTGTTGGTGAAGGGATAGACACAGATCAATGAAACAGAACAAATGGTCCAGAAATAAATTCACACAAATATGGCCAACTGACGTTTCACAAAGTGGCAGGTGCAAAGTCAATGGAAGGGAGTCTTTTTAATAAAGAACTTGTATCCAGAATATTTAAAGAACTCTCAAAATTCAATGGTAAGAAAACAACCTGATTTTGGCCGTGTGCGGTGGCTCACGTCTGTAATCCCAGCACTTTGGGAGGCCGAGGTGAGCAGATCACCTGAGGTTAGGAGTTCAAAACCAGCTTTGCCAACACGGTGAAACCCCGTCTCTACTAAAAATACAAAAATTAGCCGGGTATGGTGGCGCATGCCGGTAATCCCAGCTTCTCAGGAGGCTGAGACAGGAGAATTGCTTGAACCCGGGAGGCAGAGGTTGCAGTGAGCCAATATCGTGCCATTGCACTCCAGCCTGGGTGACAGAATTCTGTCTCAAAAAAAAAAAAAAAAAAAACCACTAGGAAATACTGCTGCATAACCATCAAAAATTTAAGACTGTTAACACCAATTGTTGGCAAGGATGTGAAGTAACTATAATTTTCTTTTCTTCTTTTCTTTTTTTTTTTTTTTGAGATGGAGTTTCACTCTTGTTGCCCAGGCTGGATGGAGTGCAATGGCATGATCTCGGCTTACCGCAACCTCCACTTCCCAGGTTCAAGCGATTCTCCTGCCCCAGCCTCCCGAGTAGCTAGCTGGGATTACAGGCATGCGCCACCATGGCCAGCTAATTTTGTATTTTTAGTAGAGACGCGGTTTCTCCATGTTGGTCAGACTGGTCTCGAACTTCCAACCTCAGGTGATCTGTCTGCCTTGGACTCCCAAAGTGCTGGGATCACAGGCGTGAGCCACCTCGACCAGTCCTTTTTTTTTTTTTTTTTTTTTTTTTTGAGATGTAGTCTCGCTCTGTCACCCAGGCTGGAGTGCATTGGCATGATCCCAGCTCACTGCAACCTCTGCCTCCTGAGCTCAGGAGAGTCTTCTGCCTACGCCTCCCAAGTAGCTGGGACTACAGGCGTACGCCACCATGCCCAGCTAATTTTTTTTTTTTTTTTTTTTTTTTAGTAGAGATGGAGAATCACCATATTGGCCAGGCTGGTCTCGAACTCCTGACCTCGTGATCCACCTGCCTCGGCCTCCCAAAGTGCTGGGATTACAGGCGTGAGCTGCTGCGGCCAGCCAATTTTCAAAAATTGATTCAATCCTTTTGGGAAACTGCCAGCAGTGTCTACTAAAACTAAATATACACCTATCATCCTATGACACAAAAATTCCTTTTATAGGTATATATCCTACTAAAATCAATTATTCATCATACTACATGAATGTTCAGAGCAGCTTTATGCATAATAGCCAAAAACTGAAAACAACCCACATACACATCAATGGTAAAAAGGATAAGTTAACTTAAGTATATTCATGCAATAGAATACTATTCAGTAATAAACAAACTTCAAACTACTGATACGTGTGATAACATGGAGGAATCTTACAGACACTACGGTGGGTGAAAAAAAACAGAAATGCAAAGGTGTCCAATCTTTTGGCTTCCCTGGGCCACACTGGAAGAATTGCCTTGGGCCACACATAAAATACACTAAAATTAACAATAGCTGATGGGCTAAAAAAAAAAAAAAAAAATCACATGGCGGGGCGCGGTGGCTGATGCCTGTAATCCCAGCACTTTGGGAGGCCGAGGTGGTCAGATCACCTGAGGTCGGGAGTTTGAGACCGGCCTGCCCAATATGGTGAAACCCCATCTCTACTAAAAATACAAAAATTAGCCAGGTGTGGTGGCACCAGCCTGTAATCTCAGCTACTCGGGAGGTTGAGGCATGAGAATCGCTTGAACCTGGGAAGCGGTGGTTACAGTAAGCCGAGATCACACCACTGCACTCCAGCCTGGGCAACAGAGACTCTGTCTCAAAAAAATAAATAAATAAATAAAGTCACAAAAAATCTCGCAATGTTTTAAGAAAGTTTACAAATTTGTGTTGGGCCACATTCAAAACCGTGGCCTGTGCGGGTTGGACAAGTTTGGAATAAAGCATAATGCTTGATTGCAATTACATGAAGTTTAAGAGTAGACACAACTCATACTTGGTAATTTAAGTCCAAATGAATAGTGGTTACCTCTGGGGAAGTACTACTGACCGGAAGGAGCAGTTGGAAACCTGGGGTGATGGAAATGTTCTAGATCTTGACCTAGGGGCTAATGACATGTGTATACATATGTAAAACTTCACCCAGCTGTCCTCTTAATTTCTGTGCGATTTATTGTGTGTAAATTATATCAGTTAGGAAAAAATAAGAAAAATGAAGGAATGATGGAGAAAAAAAGAAATGAAGAGAAACGTAACGAAGGAAGAAAGAAGGGAGGAAGGGAGGGAGGGAGAGAGGAAGGGGGGATTAAACCCAAGCACGGAGGGGGAGAGATGCTCCTCAAAAATATGCTATCAGTCATGTAGTGTTATTTATTTATTTATTGAGATGGAGTCTCGCTCTGTTGCCCAGGCTGGAGTGAGTGGCACGATCTCGGCTTACTGCAACCTCCACCTCCCAGGTTCAAGAGATCCTCCTGCCTCAGCCTCCCGAGTAGCTGCCATTACAAGCACACGCCATGGTGACCGGCTATTATCTGCATCTTAAAGATGGGGAAAGTTTGAGGTTTCCTGATGTGTTCAGCGTCACAGACTGGGTGAGTGACTCAAGCTGAGGCTAAAACCCAGGTGTGTAGGGCACCAAAGCCTTTGTGATTCCACCTCCTACAGCTCAGGTCACTTCCTCGGAGAAAGGTGACTCCTAGAAATGCCTCCCACCTGGAACTGATCTCCTCCTGGGAAGAACGTCTGTCTTATCGCCGTCGACCTTAGGCATGGACACCCTTCTGTCCCCCACCCACAACTGTGAGCCTGCTCAGGAGGCACAGCCGCGTTCATTCATTTTAGGCCTCCTCAAGGGCTCAGCGCCTGCTAAGCAGATGCGCGTTCCTGTAGGACAAGGGGTGGCCACTGGAGACGCGGGTGCGACGCAGGCGATCACGCCCTCGGACGACGCTGCGGACTGCGCTTCCTTCCGAAGAGGGAACCGTTGAGAAGAGTGAAGCGATGAGTTATGCCTCACTGGAAACCAACCGCGTCCGTGTGACTCACTTAGAAACTCACTGTTACATATTTGGAGCCTGAGCTGACGACCTTCCGGGTACACGTCAGGCAGAAGCAGGTGCGCGGTGGGAGTGTCCGCCCCGCCCCGCCGGTCGCGCCGGCCCCGCCCCCCTCACCTGCGCGCGCAACCCCACCCCAGCGCGAGGCTCTGCACCGGCCGCGCCCGCCATCCAGCTTTTATATGGCGCTATTTTGGTCGCGCGCCCTGATTGGCCGGGAGCGGGCGACGACACGCTCGCGCGCCTCAGGGAGGGGCCAAGATCTGGGGGAGGGGAGCTTCTGGCAGCCGCGCGGATCCGGGGGCGGCGGGGCGGGACTGCTGCGGTCTCTGGGGGTGCTTTGGGGCTTCTGTGCCTAGTCTGCAATCTGTTAGTGGGGTTATATTTTAATAAAAGAGCTTGTGTGTCCGAAGGGGATTTGCCAAGAACCAAACTCACCCTTCTGGGAGGGAGTTGCCAGATGGCGGGAACAGGCGGCGTAAACCTTACCAGACGTGAGCCCAGGCTGCTCAAGTGTCATTCGCGTCTTGAAGCTCTTGCCCGCCTCCCTTTGCAAGCGCGTCTAATGCCAACTCTACCTTGCCCTTTGCTAAACCAGCCCTCTAATGTGTTATCGTGCCTCACGTCAGACAATGGCTGGGCCTGTCTCTCTTTCCCCTTGGTTCTGTCCTCTGCCCTTCTCTTAAGCCAGAAGAACAAAACACTCCTTAGAATCGCTGGAGGATCTCATTTCCACCACATTCCCGTGTCCGGAGCCGAAGAGCCACGTCTGACCCTCACTGGTCTGGCTGTCCACCAATCAGGCAGCATTGCTTCTCTGAGTCTCAAGGTTATTAAATTTCTTCTGGTGGCAGACTGGTTTTGTACTTTGGTGAAAGTGACCAAATAGGTACGAAGTGTGATTCATCAAAAATTCTTACACTTAAAAAGATAAGCCAAAAGGATCATTCGAAGCCACCACTCCATATTAGATGGGAACTTAGCTTGAAAGGGGTTCTCTTAAGGATTTCTATTTACTTCTTTGAATTACAAATATCATCTCTGGTTGGAAAGCCTATAAACGCCTCTGAGATTTCCTGAGTTCACAACTTTGAAGATCATTTGCAGCTGGATGCAGAAAAAACAAACCTAGTAATTGTTGAATGTGGACATCAATAAGAATTAAGTACTTTTGGCCCAAAGGCAGTGGTTCACACCTGTAATCCTAGCACTTTGGGAGGTCGAGGCAGGAGGATAACCTGAGGTCAGGAGTTCCAGACCACCCTGGCCAACATGGTGAAACCCCATCTCTACTAAAAATACAAAAATTGGGTGGGCGTGTTGGCGCATGCCTGTAATCCCAGCTACTCAGGGCTGAGGCACCGAATTGCTTGAACCCAGGAGGCAGAGGCTGCAGTGAGCAGAGATCATGTCACTGCACTCCAGCCTGGGCGGCAGAGCAAGACTTGTCTCCAAAAAGAACTTTCAATGTGCCAGGCATTTTAAATGCTTAACAGGCATTTCATTTAATCCTCACAAAATCCCCATGACTTAGATACTATTATTATACCCATTTTACAGAAAGGGTCTAGAAAGCTTGCATAACATTGTGTCTGGACTTGGTTCCTGCCAGTGGGTTCGTGGTCTCAGTGACTTCAAGAATGAAGCCACAGACCTTCGCGGTGAGTGTTACAGCTCTTAAAGATGGCCGGGACCCAAAGAGTGAGCAGTAGCAAGGTTTATTGTGAAGAGCGAAAAAGCTTCCACAGCATGGAGGAGGACCCAAGTGGGATGCCGCTGCTGGCTGGGGTGGCCAGCTTTTATTCCCTTATTGTCCCCACCCATGTTCCATTTCTATCCTATCAGAGTGCCCTCTTTTTCAATCCTTCCCGTGACTGGCTACTTTTAGAATCCTGCTGATTGGTGCGTTTTACAATCCTCTTGTAAGACAGGAAAGTTCCCCAAGTCCCCACTGGACCCAGGAAGTCCAGCTGGCCTCACCTCTCAACATGACTCATGCAACACATTAGTACCATGGCAGTGCCGGGATTCACACCCAAGGTTGTCTGACTCCTGTGTGCCCTTAACTACTAAGCTCTGCAGTTTCTTCTTTCCTAACCAGAAACTTAGTCTTAAGCGGGCCCAGAAGGAGTTGGGATCACTACCAGGTGTTACAAATCTTCAGGAAGACATTTGTCCTGCTGCTGGTTTAAGAAAAGGATTGCTACTGTGGGGCGTGGTTGCTCACACCTGTAATCCCCACTATTTGGGAGGCTGAGGTGGAAAGATCACTTTAGCCCAGGAGGTTCAGGCTGCAGTGAGCTGTGATCACACCGCAGCACTCCATCCTGGGTGACAGAGCGAGACCTTGTCTTAAGAAAAAAAAAAAGATTGCTATGTGAGAGGGAAAATAAGGGTGCCTACAGTCTCAACAATCTCCGCTTCCCCTGAGCAACAGACCATATTAAATCTGCAGTACAAAGTTTCTGAAAATGTCTCAGATTCTGCTGTGTTCATCAATTTGGAGAACGACCTGTTTACAAAGTGGCCTCACTTAGATCCACTTGGTTGGTTAGGAACCAGGAAGCAAACCGATCATAAGAATGACTTTCAAACTTTCTTCTACACTTTCTTCCAAAAAGCTACCAGAACTACCTGATAGAAATTCCAAATACAGTAGACCCTGCAGTGGAAACTGCCTTGGAGCCAGGCAGGCTTGGGTTTAATCCCCAGTCCCACCATCCCCCAACCCGTCTCTCTGAAGTTGTATGAATTTCCAAACTTTTATGAACCTCAGATTCTTTATTTGTAACCTGTTTGGCTGAAAGGATTAACTGAGATCTCTGAAGTTCCTGAATTATTGAGTGGCACAAATAGGTATTCAAAAAAATGTTCATTATCTTTTTTGCTCCTTCCCGTGAATGATTAAGAAGAAAAGCACCTAGTCATGACTATTCTATCTTTATTATTTCTCTTACAGAGCTACATTGACTGTACTAAGTTTCATAGTCAGGTAGTAATTTACAGTAAGACTTAATTATCATCCATAACTTTAAATGTCCTTATCAAAACTTCAACGACATCACTTCCAAATACTAGCATTAGCTTTGTGTCTGACATTCATTTAACAAAGTTACTAAAAATCTATTAAGTGTAAGACTTTGGTTATTTTTTAATAGAACTTTCTGAAAACTTTTCAGCAATATAGCCTATTGAGAAAAATGGGTATGTTGAAAAACAAAAACAAAAAGCATGGTTTACAAACAAGTATTAGGGAAATAGTATTTTTATTATTATAACCTGTTCCTTCTTACTGCTCCCAAGCTCCAACTCTGACCATAACTCTTAATGAAAATAATTTGGTCTGGTAAGACTAAATAAATAAAAAAGAAAACAAAGTTTATTGAAAAGCAAAACATTGGGCTGGGCACAGTAGCTCATGCCTGTAATGCCAGTACTTTGGGAGGCCAAGGTGGGAGGATTACTTGAAGCCAGGAGTTTCAGACCAGCCTGAGCAATGCAGTGAGACCCCATCTCTAAATAAAAAAGAAAAAGAAAAAAAGACAAAAAACTAAGAACAGAAAGTAGAATTTAAGAAAAATTAAAGATGTTCCTTTACAAACATAATTCAGAGATGCTTTTCCCTTTTAAAGCCATTCAGTATTTTTTGTCAATTGATTTTGCATCATAGACATGACCCATCATTTTCAACACCGCTAATCAGTCAAAGGGAGACTTTTAAGTCTTCAAGTATAAAGTTGTAAAATGTGCAGTGTGTGTTGCACATCAGGGTAGTGGTGGATACTACTGCTAAAATACAAAATTTGCAAACCATTAGACATCCAAGTAAGTTTTAAATGAGCAGATTTCCAGAAATTTGGAAAGTATTAACAAAATGGTTTGAAATTAAGTGGAACAACTTTTCTAGCTCAAAAGAATATGACTTAGGCAACACGTACTTGACACCCAAACACCTGTGTGGATTAGTTGATTTAGTCAAATGAGCAGCCAGCTCAATAGAAAAGAAATTCATCAAACTCACTTTTTTAGACCACATTCACTTCTGCTTTTAGACTTAGCAATCTTTCATAGCACTTGTATCTAAGTAATGTGAAATTAACATATATATTAAATATGTAAGATCAATTATTGAAAAAACTGATGTTATTAGCTACAAAAATAGTAACATGAACTGAGGATGCACTGTAATAGATGCCGGATGCCAGAGTGGTTCAACATAATCATTTTGATTCTCCTTTTAACTCCTGTCATTGCCAGCAACAGTGATTTAGGTTGTGGTTGGCTCAGATTATCTTTTGCTGCAATAAATTTTTGCTGCAATAAAGGGCTGCTGTTGAAAACCTGCCTGTTCTCTAACTCATTACTGTTGCCCCAATACTACATCTTCTATTAAACAAAACTGAGGAGCCAAACGCTAGCAGGTAGTGAAAATGTCCTCTACTATTGCTAAACAAGTGAACACAGCCATCACCCTGAAACCTGAGCATTCAATGAGAATCTACATTTTAAATGGCTCTTTTGAAGCATTCATTCATCCATCCAGTCGTTCAACAAATAATTCTTGCTTTCTATGTCCCAAGCATGTACATAGGAATAAATAGGAGTAGTTCATGTTTCCTGCTATGGAAGGGCTTGCAGTCTAGTGGAGTGAGAGATGAATAAGCAAATAAGGCAGCTGAGAGCTAATTGCAACCATGGAGGAATTTAAGTAGGTGTGCAAAGGTGGAAGGATGGGGAAGGCTATGGAGATTGTAGGCAACACCAAGCACAAGGCTCACGATCTGGGAGTGTCGGGGGATAAGGTCAGTCAAAACACAGATGGCTTGACAGCCACGCTAAGGCATTAGACCACCATCCTGAGGGCAGTGTGGAGCTTACAGGCAGTTGAGAGAATATCAGAGTGGGGAGCCCCAGTGGCTCACGCCTGTAATCCCAGCACTTTGGGAGGCCGAAGCTGGTAGCTCGCTTGAGGTCAGGAGTTCGAGACCAGCCTGGCCAACACAGCGAAACCCCGTCTCAACTAAAAATACAGCAATTAGCCAGGCATGATGGTGCGTGCCTGTAGTCCCAGCTACTCAGGAGGCTGAGGCAGGAGAATTGCTTGAACCCGGGAGGCAGAGGTTGCAGTGAGCCGAGATTGTGCCACTGCACTCCAGCCTGGGTGACAGAGCGAGACTCTGTCTCAAAAAAAAAAGCAAAGAGAATATCAGAAAGGCTGCTTCCTGGAGCCTGCTGACTGGCTTTCCATGCTGTACAGAAGGAAGAAAAAGGGAAGACTCGGCTCTAGTGTCCAGTTCTCCTGGGCTGTGGTATTGTCCTTAATATTTGCCTCAAGATATTTTACTGTCTCTGTTTTACCCAGAACCAGAACGTCAGGTGAATTTGCAGGATTTTTAGGGAAAGCATTTTACCAGATGTCATCAGTCATGGTTCTGTGATAGTGAACAAATGGTTCCAGCAGCCTGGGAGATCATTACCACGTTTAATACATACAGTGTTCTTATACATACAGAATTGGCCTTCTGTCTAAAAACTGCAAGTTGGAGGGTGTCTTAATGACATTGCTCACTTCTTTGCTGTAAAATGCATGGTGAGGCTCTCTGCTAGCACCTTCTTGGAAGTATATAATACTCGTTAAAGGCCCTAGCCATTGAGTGGATTAATACATTGCAGACTGCCACAGTCACTGAAGGGGCACATTCTAACATAAACACTACTGGTGATATGAAGGCAGCATTCCTGCAAAAAAAAAAAAAAAAAAATCAGAGCACAAGAAATGCATAGTACAGAATGAACAGCTAAAAATCAGTTCAGAGGTACATCTGAGTCTGGAAAGAAGTCACCGATTCTACAGAAACAGCTGTCTCAAAGAATATGGGATCAAAATCCATCAGAATGAAATTCAGAAGTGTTCAAGCCATTCGCTGTGCCTTGCTTTGAGGAGTCTTGATTATTTCCTCCACAGTGAAACTAAGGAATTGTACCACATTTAGGTGGATCTGGGCAGGATGGCTCACCAGAGTAGCATTTTACAGCAGCAATCCTAAAAATGCACGGAATGCAAAATAAAGTCTTTTATGGCTGCGGGGAGGAATCATGAGACACATTCACCTAGTCCTGGGGCATGAGCCCCTTCTCCAAAGCTGCTCACTTTGGATGATGGGTCAGTGGCTGAAACTCTGTGTGGTGATTGCATGGACTCTTGAGTGAGCAGCTTCACAGAGGTGCCCGAAAGCCTCTTAGAATGAGCTGGTTCACTCCACCAGGCATAGGAGTCAAGATGGGCAGACCTTGGAAAGGCCTGATGTCTGGATGTTTTCCAGAGGTTTCCCAGGCATTCTCCAAGGACTGGAAGTTTCCAGGGGGTAGCCAGTGGCCTTCATTCTAGACCTGGCCACATTAACAGTTTACTTGCCAGTAGAAGTACAGGCAGACTTTTCAGAGGAATTACTCAACTAAGATACTTTCAAACTCGTGTTCAAGACCAAAATTTCTGGTAATAAAGGGAACAATCTGGCTGGGCATAGTGGCTCATGCCTGTAATCCTACCACTTTGGGAGGCTGAGACGGGAGGATCACTTGAGCTCAGAGGTTTGAAACCAGCTTGGGTAACATAGTGAGATCTTGTCTCTCTCCCTCTCTCTCTCTCTCTGTATGTATGTGTATACACGCACACACACACACACACACACACACACACACACACACACACACACACACATATATTTTTTGAGACTGAGTCTCGCTCTGTGGCCAGGCTAGAGTGCAGTGGCGAGATCTCGGCTCGCAAGCTCCGCCTCCTGGGTTCCCGCCATTCTCCTGCCTCAGCCTCCCGAGTAGTTGGGACTACAGGCGCATACCACCATGCCCGGCTAATTTTTTTGTATTTTTAGTAGAGACGGGGTTTCACCGTGTTAGCCAGGATGGTCTCGATCTCCTGATCTCGTGATCCACCCACCTCAGCCTCCCAAAGTGCTGGGATTACAGGCGTGAGCCACTGCGCCCAGCCTTATATATTTTGAAAAGAGGCCAATCTAATTTGAAAACACATTCACTATGAAAACACCTAAACATGCATAAAATATAGCAAACTTCTCTTTAAATGCAATATCCAAAATAGCAATACCTGACAGTCTCAGTAACCTAGGGACTTCAGGATATCCAGAAGCCCTACTTCATCTCTGTACATAAAGTGTGTCACAGATTGTTAGTGAAAAAAGGACATAAAATCAGAACTTCTGAAGTCACCTTCTTTTTTTTTTTTTTTTTTTGAGATGGAGTCTTGCTCTGTCACCAGGCTGGAGTGCAGTGGCGCAATCTTGGCTCACTGCAACCTCCACCTTCCAGGTTCAAGCGATTCTCCTGCCTTAGCCTCCCGGAGTAGCTGGGACTGCAGGCGAACACCACCACACCCAGCTAATTTTTGTGTTTTTAATAGAGACAGGGTTTCACCATGTTGGCCAGGATGGTCTCAATCTCTTGACCTCATGATCTGCCCTCGTCAGCCTCTCAAAGTGCTGGGATTATAGGCGTGAGCCACCGCGCCTGACCAAGTCACCTTCCTAAGCTGATCCATGTTGCTAGTGTTGCTGATCCACACATATAAGGTCTTTACAATCTATAATATTCCCATTCTAAAAGCAAACCAAGGCTTTCCTGTCTTCTTTCCTTAATAATTCAGTTCTAAAGCCCTTGAGATCAGTGGCCCACACAAAGAGAGTTTGCTAAGCAGGGCAGTGGCCTGGCAGAGTCAGTAGACTAGTTTCATACAGAGAGATTGAGCAAATAAGTAAATATATTCAGGATAATGAGTGTCGGGTTTCTTACTGTTGAAAGGGGGAGTTACAAGTATGAAAGGGGAGAAGCTGAATAAACCATGTAGCATTGCTTTGGAATTGGAGGCATCAATATGCACTGTAGGTTTTCAGTATCTGTGTGTGTGTGTGTGCGTGTACACGCATATATTTTCTAGTTCTGACTATTAAAAGATACTAAAGCAGTGAGATCCCAATAGCAGCAAGCACACCTATCACCAAAATCTTGGTTTCTAAAAATCATTCTCTATTAAAAGGAGCAGGGCTTCCTGGTTCCACGGCTGAGTCAGAGAAAGTACAGAAGGAGCCTAGAACATCTTGTTTGGCCAGAAAGTCAGGAAGCACTCAAAGTATAATGGAAATAAGTCCAAAGGACACAGAAGCCAACTTGAATGTGCTCTCACTAGCCAAGTCTGGAACAATTAAAGTATCAAGATATATAATGGTAATAAGAGATGATAAATTCATCGAATAAAATAGGAATCCACAAGTCCATACTGAGGTAGATAGATAGATAGATAGATAGATAGATAGATAGATAGATATTAAAAGGGAAAGCTCAATGTTATAGTAGCGTGCAACCAGTAAGTGTAGATAGAATGACAGAATTAGAAAATCAGCTTTTGCTAACCATCATAGTAATAATTAAGGAAGAAACTTCAATGGATGCTAAAACTAGTGACTGAAAGTTTGATGAGGAATAGGACATTTATATAGTCTCAAATAAGTACTTATTAAAAACAAAGAGAAAATAAGTAACTGATGGTGGAAAAACCTGACGGATACCACCTGAATCAAGCGATCAAAGTTAAATCATTGGCCGACTAGAGTGCAAACATGGATAAGTCTAACAACTACGTCGCACACAACCAGTCCTCAAAATGACACACACATGGCATCAATAAACCATGAAGATGTTCCTGAGAAACATATAGTTTGCAAAGAAGCACAAAAAGGATCTGGACAGGGCAGGCGCAGTGGCTCACGCCTGTATACAGTCCCAGCACTTTGGGAGGCTGAGGCGGGGAGATCACCTGAGGTTGGGAGTTCGACACCAGCCTGACTAATATGGAGAAACCCCGTCTCTACTAAAAATACAAAAAATTAGCTGGGCATGGTGGCACATGCCTGTAATCCCAGCTACTCAGGAGGCTGAGGTAGGAGAATTGCTTGAACCTAGGAGGCGGAGGTTGCGGTGAGCCGAGATCGTGCCATTGCACTCCAGCCTGGGCAACAAGAGGGAAACACTGTCTCAAAAAAAGAAAAAAAATAGGGCCTGGAGAAGAAGCAGGTCAACAATGCCAAGGCTGGGAGTGTACTTGCAGAGGCCATCAGGGCCCTCAGAAATCCCAAGGCAGATCCCCAAAGCCACAGGCTCAATTGACTTGTCCTCATTGCTCAGCCCAAGTTCAGGAAGTGTACTGGTGCCCACATTGCCTGGGGCGCCCACATCACCAGGGTCTCAGACTCTGTAGGCCAAAGGCTTAGGCCCAGTCTCCATCAGCTCAGGCTCCCAAAGGTTCCTCAGCCCCCATGAAGGCTCTCGAGCAGAGGCCTCCTTCTGTTAATGTGAGGACAGAAGGACTGGTGTCTTCCTGGGTTGCCATCTGAATGGGCCTGGTGTCCTTTCTGTGTCATTTGTAGATAAACCTCAGGCAGGAGCTGCCAAAAAATAAAAGTTAACGTCATCGATAATGGGACAAACAGAACCACGTGCCCCCTGATAAGATACAATAAGAACATGAATCATTTCTGCGAAATTCCTCCAAAATGCATAATCTGAATCTCTGAGAAAACATCACACAAACCCAAATTGAGGAACATTTTCCAAAATAATGCCTGTAATCTTCAAAATGTCACTGTTCTGAGAGACAAGGAGAGACTGAGGAAACGTTCCAGACTGACAGAGACTAAAGAAACACGACAACTAAATGAAGTGCCTGATCCTGGACTGGATCATTTGGCTACAAAGAACATCATTCAGAGGGTGGGAGGGGTGAGGGTTCAAAAATCACCTATTGGGTACAGTGTTCACTCTTTGGGGGACAGGTACACTAGAAGCCCAAACGTCACCATTATGCAATATACCCATGTAACAAACCTGCACGTATACCCCTTGAATCTGAAATTTAATTTAATTATTAAAAAATAAGATCATTTGGACAACTGGTTAACATTGAACAGGGTGTCCTGATCTTGATGGTTATACTGAGGGTGTATGGAAGAGTGTCTTTGTTTGTGGGCCATATATACTAATGTTTTTAGAGGTACAAGGAAATCATGCCTGCAACTTTTTCTTTTTTTTGAGACAGGGTCTCACTCTGTAGTCCAGGCTGGAGTGCAGTGGTGTGATCATGGCTCACTGTAGACTCCACATTCTGGGTTCATGTGATCCTCCCACCTCAGCCTCCCAAAGAGCTGGGACTGCAGGTGTGCACCATCACACCTGGTTAATTTTTTAAATTGTTTTGTAGAGATGAGGTCTCTTCATGCTGCCCAGGCTGGTCTCAAACTCCTGGGCTCAAGCAATCCTCCCACTTCAGCCTTCCAAAGTGCTGGGATTACAAGTGTGAGCCGCCCGGCCTTACTTTTTTTTTTTTTTTTTTTTTTTTTGAGACAGAGTCTCACTCTGTCGCCCAGGCTGGAGTGCAATAGCATGATTTCAGCTCACTGCAACCTCCGCCTCCTGGGTTCAAGTGATTCTCCTGCCTCAGCCTCCTGAGTAGCTGAGACTACAGATATGCGCCACCACACCTGGCTCATTTTTATATTTTTAGTAGAGATAGGGTTTCTCCATGTTGGCCAGGCAGATCTCAAACTCCTGACCTCAGGTGATCTGCTCACCTTGGCCTCCCAAATTGCTGGGATTACAGGTGTGAGCCACCACACCAAGCCCTTACTTTCAAATTATTCAAGAACTAAAAAGTTCTTTGAATTATTCTTGCAACTTTTCTATATTTTTTATTATTTTTTTAAACCAAGGACTTCAAACACACTGAGGCTAACAAGTTTTTGCCACAATTGCTAGCATGCATTCACTAACCTGGAGGCAGGCACCCACTTTGTGCCAGGCAGTGTGTCCAGCTGCCTTCTTGAACCTGCGCTACTGACAGAAAGGATGTGAAGAATTGGATCTGGCGGCATTAATTTACTTTTTGAGGTCACATGTGTATTGAAGTCAGAATCTACAGTACAGTGAAGACAAACCACTTCTTAACATTGAAGCCTCCTTACAATTAGGAGCCATGTTCAATCAAAACATGATTAATTGTTGCCAAGGACTGAAGGGCTTACTGCTCCAGGTTGTCATCTTCAGATCAGAAACATATTCCAGGGGTAGAGCCAGGTCTTACGATGCAGGTCTATGTTTTGTGCCCCACACCATTTAAGAAAAGTATTATACAATTATGAATTTTTAAAAAATCGGTACAGGACCTTGGAAGAGGGGCACACAGGCAAGGACCCTGGAGCTCATGCTTGACTG